>NC_000021.9:8310971-8472360 GCF_000001405.40 Homo sapiens | reverse complement strand
GATCCCTCGGTCCAAGCCTTGGCAACACGGTGAAACCTCGTCTCAAAAAAAAAAAAAAAAAAAAAAATTACAAAAACTAACTGGTTTCATAACCTGGACTCAAAGTTAATAAATAGATAAATAGGCCGGGGGCGGTGGCTCACGCCTGTCATCCCAGCACTTTGGGAGGCCGAGGTGGACGGATCACGGGGTCAGGAGATCGAGACCATCCTGGCTACCACAGTGAAACCCCATCTCTACTCAAAATACAAAAAGTTAGCCGGCCACGGTGGCGGGCGCCTGTAGTCCCAGCTACTTGGGAGGCTGAGGCAGGAGAATGGCGTGAACCCGGGAGGCGGAGCTTGCAGTGAGCCGAGATCACGCCGCTGCACTCCAGCCTGGGCAGCAGAGCGAGAGTCTGTCTCGAAAATAAATAAATAAGTAAATAAATAAATAAATAAATAAATGTAAATAAATAAATAGATTAAAATGGAAAACTAAAAAAAAGTAAAATAATTAAAAAAATAAATAAATAAACGTAGCCGGCCAGTCACGATGGCTCACGCCTGTCACCCCAGCACTTTGGGAGGCCGGGGCGGGCAGATCCACTGGGGTCGCCAGTTCGAGACCAGCCTGACCCACATGGAGAAATGCCGTCTCTACTAACAATACAAAATCAGCTGGGTGTGGTGGCTCCTCCCTGTAATCCCAGCTACTCAGGAGGCTGAGGCAGGAGAATCGCTTGAACGCGGGAGGTGGAGGTTGCGGTGAGCCGAGATGGTGCCACTGCACTCCAGCGTGGGCACCAAGAGTGAAACTCCGTCCGAAGGGAAAAAAAAAAATTAATTAAGTGCTGTATTCTGTTATTTTTGCTTCCTACCCTGAGAAGAACATAATACAGCTGTTGTCTTTCTGCCTGCCTGCCTGCCTGCCTGCCTGTGGCAGGGCCTCATTCTGTCTTTCGCCCAGACTGGAGCACAGTGACACAACTATGGCTCACTCACTGCAACCTCAACCTCCCCAGGGTTAGGCGATTCCTCGAGGGATCCTACGGCCTCGGCCTCCCAAAGTGTTGGGGTTACAGGCGTGAGCCACCAGCACCCGGCCTGAGTTAATACATCTGGTCTCACTACGTCTTAACCACGCACCCACGAAGAACTCAAGTCAAGAGAGAGTCGGCAAGAGACTCTCAGCATTCTCTCCCGAAAGCACGTGTGTCCCGAGCTCCTGTGGTTTCAGGTGGCCGCGCGTAGAGGAGAGATTTCCAATGTTTCCGGAGAGGTGCGAGCCACAGTCACTCGGGGCATCCGAGCATGAGATGGGGTTTCTGACAGCGACTGAAGGGCCAGGAAGGGCCAGAATCTGCCAAGGCCCGGCGTTCCAGGGTGGGGCCGAGGGAACCCAAGGTAGAGGGAGTCAGCGGTCCGCACGGAGAGAGCTCCAGCCCTAGGCCCCACTGTGCAGACCGAATCAGAAGGAAGAGAGTCCTTCGTCCTACCTGCCACACCCCTCACATCCCCCCACTGAACTTGGGAGTGGATCCGTGTTCTAAACACGAGGTGACTCTCGGTTTGCAATGGATCACAAGGCGCCGGGCTTTCCAGAGTCAGCAGGATAAAGAAGTCATTCTGTCTCGGACTCCCCCATCCCCCGGTAACGGCGGCTGGTGCCTTTAAATGAGCCGAGGCTGGCCGGGCCGGAGCCGCTATGGGGGGGGGGGGGGTGCCTGTGGCACTGCAGAAAGTGGGCCTGAGCCTCGAGGATGGCGGTGCTGCAGGGACCCGTCCAGGCTGCTATATGGCAAGCACTAAACCACTATGCCTACCGAGATGCGGTTTCCCCCGCAGAACGCCTTTATGCAGAAGTACACTCAGAAGAAGCCTTGTTCTTACTGGCGACCTGTTCTTACCGCTCAGGAAAGGCCTATAAAACATATAGACTCTTGAAAGGACACAGTTGTACTACCCCGCAATGCAAATGCCTGCTTGCGAAATGTTGTGTTGATCTCAGCAAGCTTGCAGAAGGGGATCAAATCTTATCGGGTGGAGTGTTTCATAAGCAGAAAAGCCACGATGATATTATCGTTCCTGAGTTTGGTGATTCAGCTCGCTTTCCCCTTCCATCGTCGGGACATGTATATTGCAAGACAGATCGGCTTACCAAAGGATCAGAATGTGACCAAAAGAGCCTTCGTTGAAATCCTTTCCTTCTGGTGTCCCTTTGAATCATGATGTGAAATAGGGGGGAAAAGCCAGATCCTGACCAAACATTTTGATTCACCTCTCTAGAGAGCTTTAGCAACTGCCTGTCCAAGTGTTGCGCCACAACACTTGGACCTCGTCCTAGTTTATGTCACAGACAGCCCGAGACCGTTCTTACGGAAACACCCCAGGACACCGTCGAATGAAACGGATGGAATTTAGAATCTTCCAATTCAAAGTACTCCTTGAATACAGACTCCCCAGTGTCTTCTATCGATTCAGCTGTCCTTTCACCTGATACTGTCCCACTGGGAACAGGAACTTCCATATGATCTAAACAGGTTCAACATAAACCAAAAACTGGTCGAAGTTTATTAGGAGGACCAGCAGCTGTTAGTCCATTAACCCCAAGTGTTGGCATTTTGCCATTAGAAACCCCAAGTCCCGGAGACGGACCCTATTGACAAAACTGCACTGGTATGAGACACCGTCTGTCATTGACGTGCCATCCACCGGAGCCCCTTCAAAAAAGCCTGTTGCCAGAATCGGCCAAACCGGAACACCGTCTGTCTTCTCGCAGAGGGGAAAGAGCCGAAAGGTAACTCCAGTCCTTGCAAAAACACAAAGTTCTGGTCCGCCGACAAGGGCAACACCTCAGGTATTGAGCCCCACTATGGCATCTCCCCCAAATGCACCGCCTCGAAGAAATTCACGACTCTTGACTAGTGACAGCTCCACAACCGAGGAGAATAGGAGAAAATTAAAAATGAAGTTTCCACCTAAAATCCCAAACAGAAGAACCAAAAGTAAAACTAATAAAGGAGCAATAACTCCACCGAACATAAGTGATAGCCTGGAAGTGACAAAATTGGACTCTTCCGTCATTTCAGAAGGGAAAATAGCCACAATCGCGCCTCAGATTCAGGCTTTTAATCTACAAAAAGCAGCAGCGGAAGGCTTGATGAGCCTTCTTCGTGAAAGGGGGAAAGGTTATTTAGCTTTGTGTTCTTACCACGGCAAAGAAGCTATCAGCATCTTGAGCCATCTAGCTTCTCACCACTGCAATACCGGTTGGGTACTGTGCCAAATCGGAAGGGCCTATTGTAAACTTTCAGAGTCCACGCAAGCTGAAAGACAATTCTCAGAGGTTAGGAGGATTGAGAATTACAGAGTCGAAGGCATGGAGATCTACTCTACAACACTTTGGCATCCTCCGAAAGAGGTTGCTCTTTCAGTTCTGTCCAAAGACTTCACAGACATGGATAAAAATTCGCCAGCCAGAGGCCTGGTGTGCTGCAGGGAACTGTTTCGGTCTGCAACGGGAACACGATATTGCGATTCAATTCTTCCAGAGAACTCTCGAAGTGGATCCAAATGATGCTTATGCCTATAGCGCATTAGGGCGTGAGCTTGTCTTCACTGAAGAACTGGACAAAGCATTAGCTTGTTTTCGAAATGCTATCAGGGTCAATCCTAGACATTGTAAGGCATGGTAAGTGCTAATGAAGCGTAAAGACAAAGCCCTATGGATGGTGCCGGTACTCGCTAATTTTTCTGGTTAGATAGCTCTTTATTGTCACGAATTTGGTGAAAAATACTTAGGGATGGTACCTACTGCTGAATAACTTCTAACTAAGATGTTTCCTTACGAAACGTATGTCTTGAACAAACTCTGAAGTGAACTCATGATCGTAGAATACCAGATCCTTATACTCAACAGTTTCAGTCTTCTAGCAAACTTTTGCAGACGCTGTAGTTGTCTTTGGTTTGTGTGTGTGTTTCTTTAGTTGTGTTCCTTGATTTGTTACTTTTTCTTCGAGCACCGAAGTGGTGATGGGGACAAGAAGTGCTTGGGAGACTGGAAAGGAATAGCATAGTTCACTTATTGGATAATAGAAAAATACATGGAAACAATTCACTAGCTGCTGCTTTTTGACAGTGTTCCAGTTTACGGAGTTACTATGAAGAACTTCACGTACCCTTTAATTTAGCAGTCTCTCTGTTTTACTCTTTTGTACTCGTGTATAAGTAGGCACATAGGAAATTACTACCTAGGTCATATTGTTATCAACTGAATAAGATAGGAAAAAGTGTGGTCCTACTTCTGCCTCAACACCATCCTCACCGTTGACATTTATTGCGTTTCTCTGGACTGACTTCATAGTTTAAACGTCAAGAGAAGGCCGGGCTCAGTGGCTCACGCCTGTCATCCCAGCACTTTGGGAGGCCGAGGCGGGCGGGTCACGAGGTCAAGAGATCGAGACCATCCGGGCCGACACGGTGAAACCCCGTCTCTATTAAAAGTATAAAGATTAGCTGGGCGTGGTGGCGGGCACCTGTAGTCCCAGCTACTCGGGAGGCTGAGGCAGGAGAATCGCTTGAACCCAGGGAGGTGGCGGTTGCAGTGAGCCGAGATCACACCATCGCACTCCAGCCTGGGCGACAGAGCGAGACGCCGTCTCAAGAGAAATAAATTAAAAAAAATAAATACATACATAAGTAAATATCAAGAGAAAGTATGATTCTGAAGTCATAACCCTGTGGTAGTTATTTTGTCAGATACGGTGATCTTTGGGGTGACTTATTACAGCAGTGGAGTTCTATCATTTGATTTGCTTCTAAATCTGAAGCATTATATTACTGAAACACTTTTTGATTTGCGAATATGTTGTTTAATGGATCATATCTCATTTTGCTGTAGTAGTTACATTGCCCGAAAGATGGCCAAAAAGATAGTGCCAGCTACTGCTGACCAACGTAACAATCAACTTGCCAATACTGCCTTCTCTTCCGATAGCTACGTTCTCCGTCCTATTTTAAGAACTCAGTTCTTCATAAGACTTGTGTGGTTTTCGATTTTTTCCCAAGTCTGGTTGATCCTTGTGTTGTTATTTTTTTAAATGTGTATCGTCTGTTCAGCTATTTTGCAGGAGTCGCATTCTTAAAAAAATCTTAACCCTATCAAAAATTGTGTTTGTTTAAAGGAGGATTATTCAGATTGGCCAGCTTTTACTAGGAAGAGTGTAAATGCTGACGTATTTAGGTAGCTCTAAATACTGAGCAACTTTATTCTAACCACAAAATAGATAGCCTTTCTTTTGTCTTCACTTTCACTATCATTAGCACAGTGTTTAATACCGTTTCTTCATCTATAACACAATTATAATGATATAGGAAGCCACTCAAATAAGGCAGACATGTTGCGTTGCGCTTAAAAAAAAAAAAAAAAAGAAGTCTCTCTGTGGCACGGAATGAGGTGTGGCTCGAATCTAGAATCTCCAGTGAAAACCAATGAAAGAGGGTGAAACCCCGTGTCTACCAAAAAAAAAAAAAAAAAAAAAGAGCCGGCCATGGTGGCGCTGAGACAGGAGAATCACTTGAACCCAGGAGGCAGAGGTTCCAGTGAGCTGAGATCACGCCACTGCACTCCAGCCTGGGGGACAGAGCAAGACTCCATCTCAGAAACAAACAAACACACAAAGCCAGTCAAGGTGTTTAATTCGACGGTGTCAGGCTCAGGTCTCTTGACAGGATACATCCAGCACCCGGGGGAAACGTCGATGGGTGGGGTGGAATCTATTTTGTGGCCTCAAGGGAGGGTTTGAGAGGTAGTCCCGCAAGCGGTGATGGCCTAAGGAAGCCCCTCCGCCCAAGAAGCGATATTCATTTCTAGCCTGTAGCCACCCAAGAGGGAGAATCGGGCTCGCCACAGACCCCACAACCCCCAACCCACCCCACCCCCACCCCTCCCACCTCGTGAAATGGGCTCTCGCTCCGTCAGGCTCTAGTCACACCGTGTGGTTTTGGAACCTCCAGCGTGTGTGCGTGGGTTGCGTGGTGGGGTGGGGCCGGCTGTGGACAGAGGAGGGGATAAAGCGGCGGTGTCCCGCGGGTGCCCGGGACGTGGGGCGTGGGGCGTGGGTGGGGTGGCCAGAGCCTTGGGAACTCGTCGCCTGTCGGGACGTCTCCCCTCCTGGTCCCCTCTCTGACCTACGCTCCACATCTTCGCCGTTCAGTGGGGACCTTGTGGGTGGAAGTCACCATCCCTTTGGACTTTAGCCGACGAAGGCCGGGCTCCCAAGAGTCTCCCCGGAGGCGGGGCCTTGGGCAGGCTCACAAGGATGCTGACGGTGACGGTTGGTGACGGTGATGTACTTCGGAGGCCTCGGGCCAATGCAGAGGTATCCATTTGACCTCGGTGGGACAGGTCAGCTTTGCGGAGTCCCGTGCGTCCTTCCAGAGACTCATCCAGCGCTAGCAAGCATGGTCCCGAGGATCCCAGCTCCCAGCAGAGGCACTTTTGGTCACACAGGATCCTGGGCAGGAAAGTTCTCAGCAGGCTTAGGCCTCCTAGCCAAAAAGCCAAAACCACTTCTGGGATTTTTTTCAAAGAGCCAGTGGTTCCACAAGGGGCCGTGGGTAGTTGTGGAAATGGAGAGAAGTGTTTGCACGTACATATTTGAGACAGGACGGACAGGGCTCGGTCACAGATCACTTAGGACACGGGCAGATGCACATTGAGAAAACTCTTCCGGCATCCTAGGGGAACAGAGGTACGATTTTTCGAGACAGTCGAGGGAGAAGCCACCCCAGATTTTAGGATTGGATCTTTATTCATATGTAGTTTCTATGAGGTATCCAAGTCCAGAAATCAACTCGCCAGTTCTGTACAGCATTCTGTAGGGAGATCAAATCTGGGATGTCAGAAGTGAAGAATTCAGGCCTTGGTAAGGGATTAGATTAGATGTACTTGAGCTTCTTTTGCAAAAAAAGAGAGGGCGGGAGATAGCGAGAGCCAGAGACCGAGACAGACAGACGGACAGACAGACAGAGAGAGAGAGAGAGAGAGAGAGAGACAGAGAGACAGAGACAGAGACAGACAGAGAGAGACAACGATACACAGAGAGAGAAAGACAGAAAGAGAGAGAGAGACAGATAAAGAGACAGACGGAGAGAGACAGATAAAGAGACAGACGGAGAAAGACAGAGATGGACAGAGACAGAGAGAAACAGAAAGAGAGAGAAACAGACAGGAAGGGAGAGAGACAGGCAGAGAGAGAGAGACAAACAGACAGGCAGACAGACAGGCAGAGAAAGAGAGTAAGACAGAAGGCAGACACACACACACACACACACACACACATACACACACACACACACACACACCCCCACAGAGAGAGAGAGACAGAGAGAGAGACAGAGACAGACAGAGAGACAGAGAGAAAGAGACAGAGAGAGAAAGACAGACAGAGAGAAACAGACAGAAAGAGAGACACAGACAGAGACAGAGAAACAGCCGACGGGGGGAGAGAGAGAGAGAGACAGACAGAGAGAGACAGACAGACAGACAGGCAGAGAAAGACAGTAAGACAGAAGACAGACACACAGAGAGAGAGAGAGAGACAGAGACAGAAAGAAAGACAAAGACAGAGAGAGAGAGAGAGAGAGAGAGAGAGAGAGAAACAGACAGGGGGAGAGAGAGAGAGAGACAGACAGACAGGGAGAGAGAGAGAGAGAGACTAAGACAGAAGACAGACACAGTGAGAGAGACAGAGACAGAGAGAAGGAAAGACAAAGACAGACAGACAAAGAGACAGACAGAGAAAGACAGAGACGGACAGAGAGACAGAGAGAAACAGAAAGAGAGAGAGAGACACACAGAGAGAGAGAGTGAGAGAGACAGGCAGGCAGAGAGAGAGAGTAAGACAGAAGACAGAGTGAGAGAGACAGGCAGAGAGAGACAGAGAGAAGGAAAGAGAGAGACAGTCAGAGAAAGACAGAGACGGAGAGAGAGAAACAGAAAGAGAGAGAGAGACAGAGACAGAGAGAAACATACAGACAGGGAGAGAGAGAGAGAGAGACCGACAGACAGACAGAGAAAGGGAGTAAGACAGAAGACAGACACAGTGAGAGAGACAGGCAGAGAGAGAGAGAGAGAGAGAGAGGCAGAGAGAGAGAAACAGACAGGCAGAGAGAGAGAGACACAGAGAGAGAGAGAGAGAGAAGACAGACAGAGAAAGAGAGAGACAGAGACAGACAGAGAGACAGAGAGAGGGGGAGGAAGGGCGTGCTCAAGAAATAATCACACATATTTTATAATGCTTTTGATCCCATAAACGGTGGCCGGGGTATACTTTGAAAACAACGACAACGACAACAACAACGACAACGACAACAGCAACGACGACAACAACAACAACAACAACAGCAACAAGAGCAGCAGCAGCATTCGCCTACGGATTTCTAGAAAATAAGATGTCATGATGAAGGATAGTAAACATCAACCGGCTCTCACTGCACGTTGAGAGAGTCACAAAAGCGCTAGTTCACAACAGGAAAAAACGGCAGCTAACGTGTCTTGGGGAAAATAGACGTCTTCCTGAAAACTGGGGATTTCTACTTCACCTGAAAAGAAAGACATACGAGAAAGGAAAAACACGAACAAAACAAAACAGAACGAAACAAAACAAGCCAACAAACACGGGCCAAGGCGCCGTCCCTGGAAATCTTAAGTGAGCAAAGTTATTAGTTTTCAGAAAGCGTTTCTATTTTGGGCAAGTACTGAGAAGGCCCAGACTAGAGCCGTGGCGCCCTTCGCATTGTGAAACTCTGCTGGCCGGAGGGCGGAGAAACTAAAACATCGTGATAAAAGGTGACCGAGACCCAGCCAGGGTGAAGCTTTCCTAGGGAGGGAGGCCTGAGGCGGGAAGCAGCGGGGGGAAAAGCCTCACAACTGCAGACCCGCCCGCTTGCCCACGCGGGTCAAGGGGCTATGCCATCGGCCCAAGCTGCCTCCGGGGAAGTGGGACCGTGCCGCCCCCATCTTCAAAAACGGTGGCCCCCGAGTGAGGCCTGACGCCCACCGATGCAAATGTCAGCCTGGCAAGAATGAGATCGCCGGCAAGGGGTGGGGGAAGGGGAGAGAAGACGGAGGCACACCGGGGTGGCTCTGGAAGGTTTCCAAGCAGGGTGTTGGGAGGCGGGGGGGGGGGGGCGGTTTGGGGGAAACCCACCTAACCGACTCACTAAATTAAGGTGAAGGGACGTGGGTAGTGGGGGGAGCCGGGGGGCAACTTGAAAATTAAACTGACCCTTCCCAAAGCCCAAGTAGAAGAGTCTAGGCGCCAAAACACAAAGAAAAGTAAAGCGCCGATCAAAGAACAATAGGGCCCCCGCCAGGGCGGAGGTTCCCTAGGCGAGGTTCCCTAGGCAACGAGGGAGAGAGGGAGGGGCCTCCAGAAGGGAGAGAGAGAAACCCGTTGCCCCAGGCTCGGTGAAGTCGGCGAGACCTCCCTCCGTGTCACGTCGACTTTCAATAACAGTGGCCGCTAGGTGATGCCCGAAGACAACCGATGCCTGCCTGCAAATGTCCGTCAGCAGGGAAAAGAATTAATGAATTAATTAATTTCCGTATTTATTTAGAGACCGAGTCTCACTCACTCTACAGCCTGGGCCGTAGTGCAGTGGCGCGATCTCGGCTCCCTGCAGCCTCCGCTTCCCTGGTTCAAGCGATTCTCCCGCCTCAGCCTCCCGAGGAGCTGGCATTACAGGGGCCTGCCCCACCGCTCCCGACTCAGCTTTGTATTTTTAGTAGAGACGGGGTTTCGCCGTGTTGCGTCCGGCCTTAACAGTTTATGTTGAAGTCGAGGAGCTTATCGGGGAAATAGGAGAAGTACGGACGCCACACGTGACCGAGAGAAAAGTCTGAAAATGCCCCTCGCATCCAAGCGGGGACCCGGCCTCGACCTCCCGAAATCGTACACCGAGTGGGGAAGCCCAGCAAGGCCCGCCTGTCTAGATTCCTCTCGGCCTCTCTAAGCACCGAAGCACGCGCTTCTCACTCTCGTGGAAGGGGCAGGGCCCTACCCGGCACGGGGGTGTCTGACAGACTGACAGAGAAAGAGACAGACATAGAAAGACAGAGATGGACAGCGAGAGATAGAGAGAAACAGACAGAAAGAGAAAGAGAGAGAGACAGAGACAGAGACAGAGAGAGAGAGACAGACAGACAGACAGGGAGGGAGAAAGACAAACAGAGAGAGAGAGAGAGAGAGAGAGAGAGAGAGAGACAGACAGACAGACAGACAGACAGAGAAACAGACAGAAAGAGAGAGAGAGACGGAGAGAGAGTGAGTGAGAGGGAGAGAGAGAGACATGGAGGGAGAGAGACAGACAGAGAGAGAAACAGACAGAAAGAGAGAGAGAGACGGAGAGAGAGTGAGTGAGAGAGAGAGAGAGAGACATGGAGGGAGAGAGACAGACAGAGAGAGAAACAGACAGAAAGAGAGAGAGACGGAGAGAGAGTGAGTGAGAGAGAGAGAGAGACATGGAGGGAGAGAGACAGACAGACAGAGAGGCAGGCAGAGAAAGAGAGTAAGACAGAAGACAGACACAGTGAGAGAGACAGGCAGAGAGAGAGAGAGACAGAGACAGAGAGAGAGAAAGAGAAAGAGACAGACAGAGATGGACAGAGAGACAGAGACAGAGAGAGAAACAGACAGACAGGGAGGGAGGGACGGAGACAGGCAGAGAGAGAGAGACAGGCAGACAGCCAGAGAAAGAGAGTAAGACAGAAGATAGGCACAGAAAGAGAGACAGACACAGAGAGAGACAGAGAGACAGAGAAAAAGAAAGAGAGAGACAGACAGACAGAGAAAGAGACAGACAGAGAGAGAAAGAGAGAAACAGACAGAAAGAGAGAGAGAGAGAAACAGAAAGGGAGGGAGAGAGAGGGAGAGACAGACAGACAGACGGACAGGCAGAGAAGGAGAGTAAGACAGAAGACAGACACACACAGTGAGAGAGACAGACAGAGAGAGAGAGAGAGAGAGAGAGAGAGAGAGAGAGAGGCAGAGACAGAGACAGAGAGAAAGAGAGAGACAGACATAGAAAGACAGAGATGGACAGAGAGACAGAGAGAAACACCCAGAAAGAGAGAGAGAGACAGAGAAAGAGAAAGGGAGGGAGAGAGAGAGAGAGAGAGAGAGAGAGAGACAGACACACAGACAGGCAGGCAGGCAAGGAAACAGAGTAAGACAGAAGATAGGAACAGAGAGAGAGAGAGAGAGACAGAGAGACGCAGAAAAAGAAAGAGAGAGGCAGACAGACAGAGAAAGACAGAGACAGACAGAGAGAAACAGGCAGAAAGAGAGAGAGAGAGAGAAAAACAGACAGGAAAGGAGAGAGAGAGAGAGACAGAGAGAGAAAGAGAATAAGACAGAAGACAGACACAGTGAGAGAGGCAGAGAGAGAGAGAGAGAGAGAGAGACAGAGACAGAGACAGAGAGAAAGAGACAGACAGACAGAGAAAGAGACAGACAGAGAAAGACAGAGAGAGAAAGAGAGAAACAGGCAGAGAGAGAGAGAGCTAGCGAGAGAGAAACAGAAAGGTAGGGAGAGAGAGAGAGAGACAGACAGACAGATGGACAGGCAGAGAAGGAGAGTAAGACAGAAGACAGACACAGTGAGAGAGACAAGGAGAGAGAGAGAGAGAGAGACAGAGACAGAGACAGAGACAGACGACAGAAAGAAAGAGAGAGACAGACAGACAGAAAAAGACAGAGACGGACAGAGAGAGACAGAGAAACAGAGAGAAAGAGAGAAAGACAGAGAGAGCGAGAGAGGGAGAGAGAGAGAAACAGAAAGGCAGGGAGAGAGACAGAGAGAGACAGACAGATAGACAGGCAGAGAAAGAGAGTAAGACAGAAGATAGGCACAGAGAGAGAGACAGAGAGACACAGAAAGAGAAAGAGAGAGGCAGACAGACAGAGAAAGGGACAGACAGAGAAAGACAGAGACAGAGAGAGAGAGAGAGAGAGAGAGAGAGAAACAGACAGAAAGAGAGAGGGACAGGGAGAGAGAGAGACAGACAGACAGACGGACAGGCAGAGAAGGAGAGTAAGACAAAAGATACACACAGAGAGGGAGAGACAGAGAGAGAGAGAGACAGAGACAGAGACAGAGAGAATGAAACAGACAGACAGAGAGAGACAGTGAGAAACAGACAGAAAGAGAGGGAGACAGAGAGAAACAGACAGGGAGGGGGGAGAGAGAGAGAGAGAGAGAGAAGCAGAAAGGGAGGGAGAGACAGAGAGAGACAGACAGACAGGCAGAGAAAGAGAGTAAGACAGAAGATAGGCACAGAGAGAGAGAGAGACAGACAGAGAGACACAGAAAAAGAAAGAGAGGGGCAGACAGACAGAGAAAGAGACAGATAGAGAAAGAGAGAGGCAGACAGAGAGAGACAGAAACAGACAGAAAGAGAGAGAGAGAGAAACAGACAGGGAGGGAGTGAGAGAGAGACAGACGGGGAGAGAAAGAGAGTAAGATAGAAGACAGACACAGTGAGACAGGCAGAGAGGGAGAGAGAGGGACAAAGACAGAGACAGAAAGAAAGAAAGAGACAGACAGACAGACAGACAGACAGAGAAAGAGACACAGAGAGAAAGACAGAGACGAACAGAGAGAAACAGACAGAGAGAAGGCCCTAGCCCAGTAGCAATACAGTGCCTTTTCTTTCATTTTCTCTTTCTTTTCTTTTCTTTTTTTCTTTCTTGTATATCTGTATGTATGTATGTATGTATGTATGTATGTATGTATGTATGTGTGTATTTATTTATGTACGTATTTATCTGGAGACCGGGTCTCACTCTGTCGCCCAGGCTGTAGTGCAGTGGTGCGATCTTGGGTCACTGCAGCCTCCGCCTGCCAGGTTCAAGCAATTCTTCCACCCCAGCCTCCCGAGTAGCTGGGGTTACAGGTGCCTGCCCCACGGCGCCTGACTCCATTTCGTATTTTCAGTAGAGACGGGGGTTTCACCACGTTGGCCGGGCTGGTCTCGAACTCCTGACCTCGGGATGACAGACGTGAGCCACTGCGTTCAGTGTACAGTACCATTTCTTAGAAATCACTCCTCACGGGAACACACACTTATGGGTGACGTGTAGAGATTTTAGTTAGTTAGTTAGTTAGTTAGTTATTATGTGCGCGGGGAGGTGGGGGGACGGAGTTTGGCTCTTGCTGCCCAGGCTACAGTGCAATGGCCTAGGGGACTCAAGGAGTCAACCTATGGCAGAGAGGACACGTCATTCTGAGCGTAAGGGCCGCAGCGAAAGGTGGCAGGGCCCGCGCTTTTAAAGGCTGAAATCCCGGCGGCTCAGGCCTGTCGTTTCCAGCACTTTGGGAGGCCCAGGAAGGTGGATCATTTGTGGTCAGGAGTTCGAGACCAGCGTGGCCAACGTGGAGAAACCCCGTCTCTACTAAAAATAGAACGATGAGCCGGCCGTCATGGTGCGCACCTGTAATCCCAGCTACCGAAGAAGAATCACTGGAACCCGGGAAGCAGAGGTTTCAGTGAGCCGAGAGAGCGCCACCGCACCGCAGCCTGGGTGACAGAGCGAGAGAGACTCAGTCCAAAAAAAAAGAAAGAAAAGAAGAAGAAGAAAAAAAGAACGGGCCCAAATACTGCATTGTCGCTGAACGTTCTCCCAAAAGGCCAGAAACCCCCTGACTCAGGTCAAGGAGGTGGTGGTTGGTTTTACTTCTCTTTCTCTCTCTCTCTCTCTCTCTCTCTCTCTCTCTCTCTCTCTCTCTCTCCCCCCCCCTCTCCCCCCTCTCTCCCCGTCTCTCTCTCTCTCTCCTCTCTTCTCCCCCCCGAACTTTTATTTGTCGTTCAAGCATACATGAGCAAGACTGTGACATAGGTAAACTTGTGACGGGGGTGTTCAGTGTGCAGATGATTTCATCACCCGGGTAGTCAGTGCTGTGTCCGACAGTATTCGTGTTTTGTTTTCTTCCTGAAGCTGTCTCTCCTTCCACCCCTCCTCCCTCAAGCAGGCTTCCGCGTCCCCGGTCCCCCTCGTTCTGCCCATGCAAGAACTGTCATCTGTAAGTTCCCACTTCTAGATGAGAACACGCGGTATTTAGCCGATCTTTGCTTTCATCTTCGGTGGTGGCGGTGAAAGAGGCATGACACTAAATCGACCCTTAGGACGCCGTTTATGTTGAAGTCGAGGAGCTTATCGGGGAAATAGGAGAAGTACGGACGCCACACGTGACCGAGAGAAAAGTCTGAAAATGCCCCTCGCATCCAAGCGGGGACCCGGCCTCGACCTCCCGAAATCATACACCGAGTGGGGAAGCCCAGCAAGGCCCGCCTGTCTAGATTCCTCTCGGCCTCTCTAAGCACCGAAGCACGCGCTTCTCACTTTCGTGGAAGGGGCAGGGCCCTACCCGGCACGGGGGTGTCTGACAGACTGACAGAGAAAGAGACAGACATAGAAAGACAGAGATGGACAGCGAGAGATAGAGAGAAACAGACAGACAGGGAGAGAGAGAGAGAGAGAGAGAGAGAGAGAAACAGACAGGGAGGGAGAAAGACAAATAGAGAGAGAGACAGACAGACACACAGAAAGACAGAGACAGAGAGAAACAGACAGAAAGAGAGAGAGACGGAGAGACAGTGAGTGAGAGAGAGAGAGAGAGAGACATGGAGGGAGAGAGACAGACAGACAGACAGAGAGGCAGGCAGAGAAAGAGAGTAAGACAGAAGACCGACACAGTGAGAGAGAAAGGCAGAGAGAGAGAGAGAGAGAGAGAGAGAGAGAGAGAGAGAGAGAGACAGAGAGAGACAGAGAGAGACAGAGAGAAAGAAAGAGAGAGAAAGAGAAAGAGACAGACAGAAATGGACAGAGAGAGAAACAGACAGACAGGGAGGGAGGGACGGAGACAGGCAGAGAGAGAGAGAGAGAGAGAGAGAGAGAGAGACAGGCAGTCAGCCAGAGAAAGAGAGTAAGACAGAAGATAGGCACAGACAGAGAGACAGGCACAGAGAGAGACAGAGAGACAGAGAAAAAGAAAGAGAGAGACAGACAGACAGAGAAAGAGACAGACAGAGAGAGAAAGAGAGAAACAGACAGAAAGAGAGAGAGAGAGAGAGAGAAACAGAAAGGGAGGGAGAGAGAGGGAGAGACAGACAGACAGACGGACAGGCAGAGAAGGAGAGTAAGACAGAAGACAGACACACACAGTGAGAGAGACAGACAGAGAGAGAGAGAGAGAGAGAGGCAGAGACAGAGACACACACACAGTGAGAGAGACAGACAGAGAGAGAGAGAGAGAGGCAGAGACAGAGACAGGGAGAAAGAGAGAGACAGACAGAGAAAGACAGAGATGGACAGAGAGACAGAGAGAAACAGATAGAAAGAGAGAGACAGAGAGAGAGAGAGGCAGAGGCAGAGACAGAGACAGGGAGAAAGAGAGAGACGGACAGAGAAAGACAGAGATGGACAGAGAGACAGAGAGAAACAGACAGAAAGAGAGAGAGACAGAGAGAGAGAGAGACAGACAGACAGACAGGCAGGCAGAGAAACAGAGTAAGACAGAAGATAGGCACAGAGAGAGAGAGACAGAGAGACGCAGAAAAAGAAAGAGAGAGGCAGACAGAGAAAGACGGAGACAGGCAGAGAGAAACAGACAGAAAGAGAGAGAGAGAGAGAGAGAAAGAGACAGGAAGGGAGAGAGAGAGACAGACAGACAGAGAAAGAGAATAAGACAGAAGACAGACACAGTGAGACAGGCAGAGAGAGAGAGACAGAGAGAGAGAGACAGAGACGGAGACAGAGAGAAGGAGACAGACAGACAGAGAAAGAGACAGACAGAGAAAGACAGAGACAGACAGAGAGAGAAAGAGAAACAGGCAGAGAGAGAGAGAGAGAGAGAGAGAGAGCGAGAGAGAAACAGAAAGGGAGGGAGAGAGAGAGAGACAGACAGACAGACGGACAGGCAGAGAAGGAGAGTAAGACAGAGGACAGACACAGTGAGAGAGACAAGCAGAGAGAGAGAGAGAGACAGAGACAGAGACAGACAGAAAGAAAGAGAGAGACAGACAGAAAAAGACAGAGACGGACAGAGAGAGACAGAGAAACAGAGAGAAAGAGAGAAAGACAGAGAGAGCGAGAGAGGGAGAGAGAGAGGGAGAGAGAGAGAGAAACAGAAAGGCAGGGAGAGAGACAGAGAGAGACAGACAGACAGACAGGCAGGCAGGCAGAGAAAGAGAGTAAGACAGAAGATAGGCACAGAGAGAGAGACAGAGAGACACAGAAAGAGAAAGAAAGAGAGAGGCAGACAGACAGAGAAAGACAGAGACAGAGAGAGAGAGAGGAACAGACAGAAAGAGAGAGGGACAGAGAGAGAGAGAGACAGAAAGGGAGAGAGAGACAGACAGACAGACAGACAGACGGACAGGCAGAGAAGGAGAGTAAGACAGAAGATACACACAGAGAGTGAGAGACAGAAAGAGAGAGAGAGAGAGAGAGAGAGAGAGAGACAGACAGACAGAGAGAACGAAAGAGACAGACAGAGAGAGAGAGAGATGGACAGAGAGAGACAGTGAGAAACAGACAGAAAGAGAGAGAGACGGAGAGAAACAGACAGGGAGAGGGGGAGAGAGAGAGAGAGAGAGAGAGAAACAGAAAGGGAGGGAGAGACAGACAGACAGGCAGAGAAAGAGAGTAAGACAGAAGATAGGCACAGAGAGAGAGAGAGAGAGACAGACAGACAGACAGAGAGAGAGAGACCGACAGAGAGACACAGAAAAAGAAAGAGAGAGGCAGACAGACAGAGAAAGAGACAGACAGAGAAAGACATAGACAGACAGAGAGAGACAGAAACAGACAGAAAGAGAGAGAGAGAAACAGACAGGGAGGGAGAGAGAGAAACAAACAGGGAGGGAGAGAGAGAGAGAGAGACAGACGGGGAGAGAAAGAGAGTAAGACAGAAGACAGACACAGTGAGACAGGCAGAGAGGGAGAGAGAGAGACAAAGACAGAGACAGAGACAGAGAGAAAGAAAGAGACAGACAGACAGAGAAAGAGACACAGAGAGAAAGACAGAGACGAACAGAGAGAAACAGACAGAGAGAAGGCCCTAGCCCAGTAGCAATACAGTGCCTTTTCTTTCATTTTCTCTTTCTTTTCTTTTCTTTTTTTCTTTCTTGTATATCTGTATGCATGGATGTATGTATGTATGTATGTATGTATGTATGTATGTATGTATGTGTGTATTTATTTATGTACGTATTTATCTGGAGACCGGGTCTCACTCTGTCGCCCAGGCTGTAGTGCAGTGGTGCGATCTTGGGTCACTGCAGCCTCCGCCTGCCAGGTTCAAGCAATTCTTCCACCCCAGCCTCCCGAGTAGCTGGGGTTACAGGTGCCTGCCCCACGGCGCCTGACTCCATTTCGTATTTTCAGTAGAGACGGGGGTTTCACCACGTTGGCCGGGCTGGTCTCGAACTCCTGACCTCGGGATGACAGACGTGAGCCACTGCGTTCAGTGTACAGTGCCATTTCTTAGAAATCACTCCTCACGGGAACACACACTTAGAGGTGACGTGTAGAGATTTTATTTATTTAGTTAGTTTAGTTAGTTAGTTAGTTTGTTAGTTAGTTATTATGTGCGCGGGGAGGTGGGGGGACGGAGTTTGGCTCTTGCTGCCCAGGCTACAGTGCAATGGCCTAGGGGACTCAAGGAGTCAACCTACGGCAGAGAGGACACGTCATTCTGAGCGTAAGGGCCACAGCGAAAGGTGGCAGGGCCCGCGCTTTTAAAGGCTGAAATCCCGGCGGCTCAGGCCTGTCGTTTCCAGCACTTTGGGAGGCCCAGGAAGGCGGATCATTTGAGGTCAGGAGTTCGAGACCAGCGTGGCCAACGTGGAGAAACCCCGTCTCTACTGAAAATAGGAATATGAGCCGGCCGTCATGGTGTGCGCCTGTAATCCCAGCTACCGAAGAAGAATCACTGGAACCCGGGAAGCAGAGGTTTCAGTGAGCCGAGAGAGCGCCACCGCACCGCAGCCTGGGTGACAGAGCGAGAGAGACTCAGTCCAAAAAAAAAGAAAGAAAAGAAGAAGAAAAAAAAAGAACGGGCCCAAATACTGCATTGTCGCTGAACGTTCTCCCAAAAGGCCAGAAACCCCCTGACTCAGGTCAAGGAGGTGGTGTTTCGTTTTCTCTCTCCCTCCTCTCTCTCTCTCTCTGTCTCTCTCTGTCTCTCTCTCTCTCTCTCTCTCCTCTCTTCTCCCCCCTAACTTTTATTTGTCGTTCAAGCATACATGTGCAAGATTGTGACATAGGTAAACTTGTGACGGGGGTGTTCAGTGTGCAGATGATTTCATCACCCGGGTAGTCAGTGCTGTGTCCGACAGTATTCGTGTTTTGTTTTCTTCCTGAAGCTGTCTCTCCTTCCACCCCTCCTCCCTCAAGCAGACTTCCGCGTCCCCGGTCCCCCTCGTTCTGCCCATGCAAGAACTGTCATCTGTAAGTTCCCACTTCTAGATGAGAACACGCGGTATTTAGCCGATCCTTGCTGTCATCTTCGGTGGTGGTGGTGGTGGTGAAAGAGGCATGACACTAAATCGACCCTTAGGACGCTCCCCTCCGTCCCCACCCCGCACCCCCTCCCCACACACACCCTCATTCCCGCACCCCCTCCTCAAACGCAAGAAAGGAAGAAATGAAAGTAAGAGGTGAGCCTGCAAGGCGGTGGAGGCGGGGGATCTCAGAGGGCGAGCAAGCGATGGCGGTCGGGGGATGTGTCGGCTGAGGTATCAAAAATAGGGGACCCAGTTTTCAGCCCCAACACACCCCCTAATCCTCAGCCGCAGCCAGCCTCTGGGTGGGGTTGCGCCTGTCAAAGCTTCCGAATGGAGAGAAGCCCAAGGCTACGGAAGGCATCAGCTCCAACTCCAGGAAGGGAATAAGGCTCTGTGCATACGAATGGGGCTTTGAAAGGCGTTGCCGCGGCTTCCAAAGCGATGCGCTGTGCCTCGCCTCGCCTCGCCCCGCCCAGAGCGAGACTCCGTCTGAAAATAAGTACACAAATAAATCATAAGATAATTCATCAAGAAAGAAAGAAAGAAAGAAAGAAAGAAAGAAAGAAAGAAAGGATCAGTAGAGCGATGGTGGTCGTGAGTCATTCCCCGGAGTCCAGGCGCAGTGGCTCACGCCCGTCACGCCAGCACTTTGAGACGCCGGGCAGGAGGGTTGCAAAGAAATGATGAGACCCCGTCTGTGGGAAAACATTTAAAAATGAAGGCCGGGCGCGGTGGCTCACGCCTGTCATCCCAGCACTTCCGGAGGCCGGGGAGGGCGGATCACCTGAGGTCGGGAGTTCGAAACCAGCCCGATCGACATGGAGAAGCCCCGTCTCCACTAAAAATACGAAATCAGCCAGACGTGGCAGCGCATGCCCGCAATCCCGGCTACTCAGGAGGCCGATGCAGGAGAATCGCTTGAAACCGGGAGGCAGAGGTTGCGGTGAGCCAAGATCGCGCCACCGCACTGCAGTCTAGGCCACGAGAGTGAAACTCTGTCTCGGGGGAAAAAAAAACAATTAAAAACGGTGTGGGCACAGTGGCGCGTGCCCGCGGTCCCAGGCTCTGTACTCTGGAGGCTGAGGTGGAAGGATCGCTCGAGTCCAGGAGCGTCCACGCTGCAGGGAGTGAGTTACGACGGCACCACTGCCGGGGTGACGGAGCGAGATGCCGTCTCTAAATCAGTCAATGAGATCACTGGAAGGCGCTCTCTGCGTCTCACTTTCCAAGAGGGTCTCTTTGGGCCAAGCAGGCATGGTGCCTCCCGCCAGTCATCCCAGCACTTTGGGAGGCTGAGGCGGGAGGAAAGAAGGAAGGGAGGAAGGGAGGAAAGAAGAAAAGAAGAAAGGCAGGAAGGCAGGAAAGAAAGAGGGGAAGAGAGAAAAAGAAAAAGAAAGAAAGAAAGAAAGAAAGAAAGAAAGAAAAGAGAAGCAAAAAGAAGAAAAGAGAAGGGAAGAAAAGAAAAGCAAACGGGGAAGGGGCATATCTCCTTGACCGGTGACTGCCCAGGATACAGTGGGTCACGGCCGACCGAAGCCTCGACCTGTGGGGCCTCAAGTGATCTTCTCCTCGTCTCAGCCTCCCGAGTAGCCGCGACTACAGGCGGCCATCACCGCGCACAACTCATCTTATAATAACATCATGATTCTCTCGAGACGGGGTCTCGCTCCGTCATCCAGGCCGCATCGCCACGGCACGATCTCAGCTCATCGCAACCTCGGCCTCCCCGGTTGGAACAAGTCGCCCGCCCCAGTCTCCCGAGCGGTCGTGATTCCAAGCCCACGCCACCAGGCCCGGCTAATCGTTCTATTTTTCAGAGAGACGGGGTTTCGCCACGTCGGCCAGCCTGGTCTCGAACTCCCGGCCCCAAGCGATCCACCCGCCTCGGCCTCCCAAAGTGCCGGAGTGACAGGCGTGAGCTAGCGTGCCCGGCCCAGATCATCTTTTTCATCAATTGTAGAGAAGGGGTTTCGTCAGCCAACGGGTGGAGGGTGGGGCGGGTTTTACTCAGCCTGCGTACTGTGAAAAGGGGAAGTGAGTGTGCTCTGTGAACTAGATATGGAAATTGTGTGTGTGTGTGCGCGCGTGCGCGTGCGAGAGAGAGAGAGAGAGAGAGAGAGAGAGAGACCAATCCCACCACGAGGACCCGGAAATAGTGTTTGATCTGTGTCCCTGCCTAGTCACCTGTCTTGTGTGTCGATGACTGAGGATTCCACAAATGAAGGTCAGCGGTATCTATTGAGCTGTTTCTCCCTCTCGTGCGTCTCATCTGTGTGCTGGAGAAAGGGAAGAGAAGAGGTTCCGATGGGAAGTTGTCTTCACGCCTGAGGCAGCTGAAGGCAGACCGAAGGGAAGGAGGGCATCCTAGGTGACATTTCCATACCCACGCACCCTTTACAATGCTGGGGCTGCCAGTCCACCCTGTACGTCAACCCACCCCCAAGAACAGCACGGTCCGGGGTGGTCCAGTCTGATCCCAACCGGCCCACCCGGGGCATCCGGTGGAAGTCTTCGCCGGAGGATCCGAAGGCAGCATCAACGCGGTTCCCCTGGGGTCGCCCGGCAAAGGCCAGCCGGGGGAGGGTAGCGGGACGTGACGGGGGGGTGGGGGTCGCATCCGCCTCAGAGCTCCCTGGAAGGTGGCAGGTAGCCGGTGGGGCACGCCGAGCCAGAGACGTCCGGCAGGATATAGATCTGGAAGGCGTGTCAGTCCTCTCCCATACCTCTCCTATGGAAAATGCCAGGGCGGCGGTGGGAGCCTCGGCTGGGGGAGAAGCGGGGACAAGGGGGAGAGGGAAGGAGGCCCTCGGGAGGTTTCGGCACCGAAAACCCACTCAGCCAAGCTCCCTCCGTGTTTCCGGGTCCAAGGTACACCCCGGGAGACGGCAAGAGAAACGTTCACACCGTGCTTTCCGTCTTCGTGTTTATTTCTTTCATCTTTTCCATTTTACGAGAGATGCTCATTTCAACAACCAGACGGCGGATGTGACGGGAGAAGCGTCAAGGCCAGGAGTTTGAGACCAGCGTGAGCAACAGAGCAACACACGTAGGAGAGCCCAGCTGAAAGAAATGAAAGAGGAGGAGGAGGAGGAGGAGGAGGAGGAGGAGGAGGAGGAGGAGGAGGACGACGACAAGGGGGGGTGGGGGGGGAGGAGAAGGAAAGAAAAGAAAAGAAAAAAAAGAAAAAGGAAAACAACCACCACCAAGAAAGTTAAGATTCTCCAACGGTCGGAAGTTGAAGACCAGCCTGACCAAGATGGAGAAACCCCATCTGTAGTAAAAATAGAAAAATTAGCCGGGCACGATGGCTCATCTCTGTCATTCCAGCTACTCGGGAAGGCTGAGGCAGGAGAATCACTTGAACCTGGGAGGCGGAGGGTGCGGTGAGCCGAGAGCCGCCATCGTACTCCACCCTGGGCGACAAGAGTGAAACTCCGTCTAAAGAGAATAAAAAGAAAGAACGAAAAGGCGGATCGGTGAGATGCGTCTGGAAATTTTCTTCGTTCGCAGTCCCCGTATTAAAAACGGAAAGAACCGACCCACGACAAACACGACCAGAGCGTACCGTGCCCACGCGTGTCATCACAGCACTCCGGGAGGCCGATGCGGGAGGATCTCTGGAGCCTAAAAGTTCGAGATCACCTCGACACGTGAGATGACGCCTACAATAATAATAATCATAGAAGTTTGAAAAGAGACCACGTGTGCCCAGAGCATGGACAATAAAGCGAGAGCACATCCGTACTAAAAAGAAGACGATTGATAGGCAGGCAGGCAGGCAGGCAGGCAGGCAGGCAGGCAGGCAGGCAGGCAAATGTAGAAGGAGCCAGGCGCAGCGTCTCACGCCTGTAATAGCAGCAGTGTGGGCGGCCGAGGCAGGCAGGCGGATTGCTTGAGGACAGGAGTTCGAGACCAGCGTGGGCAACATGATAGAACCCCGAAACCCATCTCACTCACATACATACATACATACATAGATACACACACACACACACACACACACACACACACACACACACACACACACATACCTACCTACGGAAAACATGAGAAACAACATAAAAGTCAGCCGGTGTGGTGGTGCGCGCCTGTAGTCTCAGGTAATGGGGATGGGAGGGATCAGAGGCAGAACGACCGTTTGGTCGGTCCAAAGCGTTGAGGTTGGGGTGATCCTGGGCGGCAGAGACAGAGGAAGACCCTGCCAGTAAGGGAGGGAAGGAAGGAAGGAAGGAGGGAAGGAAGGAAGGAAGGAAGGAAGGAAGGAAGGAAGGAAATAAACAGGCAAGCAGGCAAGCAAACGATGAACGTGACAATGACACAGAAGAACCCATGAGAATAAACGAGCAAATAACAGGGTATGAATGAAGCTAAAAGGCAATTGAGATCGCAATCAATCGTTTTCTCTGCACCCCACCCCACCGCAGCCCACGTAAGCTGGAGTGGAAGTGTGCGATCACAGCCCACGTTAACCTCTCCCTCCCGGGCTTAAGAGATCCCTGTAGTCCCAGCTATTTGGGAGGCTGAGGTCACCAGAGCGCAGAGACAGAAGACCAGGCGGGCCGGCCCCAAAAGAAAAGAAAATAAATAAACGAAAATTATTAATAAATAATGAATGAAGGAAGGGAGGAAGGATATACATACACGTGTATGTAAATGAAATGGGGCTTCGATACATATTCATCCATTAAAAGTAACATAATATAAACGTATTAATTATGGAAATATCATTTACATAGTTTTATCACTACGGGGGGTGTGTGTGTGTGTGTGTGTGTGTGTGTGTGTGTGTGTGTGTGTGTGTGTGTGTGTATGTGTAGATGTATGTTCATACACGGCAGCGTTCAGAAAATAAGATTGAAAAAAGGAAGGAATCGGCCGGGCATGGTGGCTCACATCTGTACTCCCAGCAGTCTTTGGGAGGCCGAGGCGGGCGGATCACTAGGTCGGGAGTTCGAGACCAGCCCGGCCAAAATGGTGAAATTACGTCTTTACTCGAAATAGAAAACTTGCTGTTTGCTTGAACCGTGGAGGCAGAGGCAGCAGCAGCAGCGAGCCGAGAAGGCACCAAGGAGGGAGGGAGGGGAGAGAGACAGAGAGAGAGAGAGAGAGAGAGAAAGAAAGAAAGAAAGAAAGAAAGAAAGAAAAGAAAGAAAGAAAGAAAGAAAGAAAGAAAGAAAGAAAACGCAAGGCAAAACCAAAAAGCAAAAAAGGAGGAAGCATTACTGGCTGACGGCAGCAGTGACTCCCTCTTAAAAGTCCCGCGGACGCAAACTCGCAGTGGGGCTGAAAAAAATGTAGAAGAGGGAGTTCCGCGTGGTCCCAGCTCCACCGCGGGCCGAGGCCGGTGGAGGTCGCCGGCGCGTGAACCGGAATCGACGCCCTCGCGTCGGTGCGCCGCAGCGTCCGGCGGCCGCCTGCTGGTCGACCCGGGACACGTGCAGACGCCAGCTAAGTCCGGAGCTCGCGGGCGGCAGCTGGTCGACCCCGGAGGTGCCGACCGAGACGGGGACGCGGCGGGTCCGGCTCGTCCCGACGGGCACTCTTACACGCCGCTCGGTGGAGAAGGCCCGCCGGTCGACCCGGGACACGGCGAGACAGCGGCTAAGTGTCAAGAGCCGAGAAGGCACCAAGGAAGGGGAGAGAGGGAGGGAGGGGGAGGGAGAGAGAGAGAGAGAGAGAGAGAGAGAGAGAGAGAGAGAGAGAGAGAGAGAGACAGAGAGAGACAGAGAGAAAGAGAGAGAGAGAGAGGGCGAGAGCGAGAGACAGAGAGAGAGAGAGAGAGAGAGAGAGAAAGAGAAAGAGAAAGAAAACGAGCGAGGGAGAGAGCGAGAGAGCGAGAGCGAGAAAGAAAGAAAGAAAGAAAGAAAGAAAGAAAGAAAGAAAGAAAGAAAGAAAAAAAAAAAAAAAAAAAAAAGGCAAGACAAAACCTAAAAGCAAAAAAGGAGGAAGCATTACTGGCTGACGGCAGCAGTGACTCCCTCTTAAAAGTCCCGCGGACGCAAACTCGCGGTGGGGCTGAAAAAAATGTAGAAGAGGGAGTTCCGCGTGGTCCCAGCTCCACCGCGGGCCGAGGCCGGTGGAGGTCGCCGGCGCGTGAACCGGAATCGACGCCCTCGCGTCGGTGCGCCGCAGCGTCCGGCGGCCGCCTGCTGGTCGACCCGGGACACGTGCAGACGCCAGCTAAGTCCGGAGCTCGCGGGCGGCAGCTGGTCGACCCCGGAGGTGCCGACCGAGACGGGGACGCGGCGGGTCCGGCTCGTCCCGACGGGCACTCTTACACGCCGCTCGGTGGAGAAGGCCCGCCGGTCGACCCGGGACACGGCGAGACAGCGGCTAAGTGTCAAGAGCCGAGAAGGCACCAAGGAAGGGGAGAGAGGGAGGGAGGGGGAGGGAGAGAGAGAGAGAGAGAGAGAGAGAGAGAGAGAGAGAGAGAGAGAGAGAGAGACAGAGAGAGACAGAGAGAAAGAGAGAGAGAGAGAGGGCGAGAGCGAGAGACAGAGAGAGAGAGAGAGAGAGAGAGAGAAAGAGAAAGAGAAAGAAAACGAGAGAGGGAGAGAGCGAGAGAGCGAGAGCGGCAAAGAAAGAAAGAAAGAAAGAAAGAAAGAAAGAAAGAAAGAAAGAAAGAAGAAAAAAAAAAAAAAAAAAAGGCAAGACAAAACCTAAAAGCAAAAAAGGAGGAAGCATTACTGGCTGACGGCAGCAGTGACTCCCTCTTAAAAGTCCCGCGGACGCAAACTCGCGGTGGGGCTGAAAAAAATGTGAGAGAGGGAGTTCCGCGTGGTCCCAGCTCCACCGCGGGCCGAGGCCGGTGGAGGTCGCGGGCGCGCGAACGGGAATCGACGCCCTCGCGTCGGTGCGCCGCAGCGTCCGGCGGCCGCCTGCTGGTCGACCCGGGACACGTGCAGGCGCCGGCTAAGTCCGGAGCTCGCGGGCGGCAGCTGGTCGACCCCGGAGGTGCCGACCGAGACGGGGACGCTCCGGTTGCGGTTCGTCCCGACGGGCACTCCTACACGCCGCTCGGTGGAGAAGGCCCGCCGGTCGACCCGGGACACGGCGAGACGCCGGCTGAGTCTCACGCCCGCGGGCGGCAGGCGGTCGACCCCGGAGGCCCGACCGAGGAGAGGTCACGAGCGGAGGTCGGCCGGGTGCGCGGACGCCCCGTGGGGCCTCGCCGCCCGCCGCCCACCACCCGCGGTCTGCTGGTCGACCCGTGCGGAGGAGCGAGGAGGAAGGACGCGCGAGGGCCGGGACCCCGGGTGGCCGCCCCACCGGGGCCCGCGCGGCCAACCCCCGGGACGGGGACCGGCGGGCCACGGGCCCGGCTCGGCGCGGCCGCCTCCGCGGCTCCCAAACCACGCTCCCCGGACCCCGTCCCGGCCCGGAGCGGACGAGCCGCCCCGGCGGTGAACGGGGAGGAGGCGGGAACCGAAGAAGCGGGGCGCGCCGACCGGGGTCGCGCGCCCTCCCCCCCACCCCCACCACCACGCCCGCGGTCGGCGGGAGAGGCCGGGAGGGAGGAAGACGAACGGAAGGACGGACGGCGCCGGACGCGCACGCCCCGCCGGGCCCCCCGCACGCACGCGCGCGCGCGCGCGCGGACAAACCCTTGTGTCGAGGGCTGACTTTCAATAGATCGCAGCGAGGGAGCTGCTCTGCTACGTACGAAACCCCGACCCAGAAGCAGGTCGTCTACGAATGGTTTAGCGCCAGGTTCCCCACGAACGTGCGGTGCGTGACGGGCGAGGGGGCGGCCGCCTTTCCAGCCGCGCCCCGTTTCCCAGGACGAAGGGCACTCCGCACCGGACCCCGGTCCCGGCGCGCGGCGGGGCACGCGCCCTCCCGCGCGCGCGGGGCGCGTGGAGGGGGGGGCGGCCCGCCGGCGGGGACAGGCGGGGGACCGGCTATCCGAGGCCAACCGAGGCTCCGCGGCGCTGCCGTATCGTTCCGCCTGGGCGGGATTCTGACTTAGAGGCGTTCAGTCATAATCCCACAGATGGTAGCTTCGCCCCATTGGCTCCTCAGCCAAGCACATACACCAAATGTCTGAACCTGCGGTTCCTCTCGTACTGAGCAGGATTACCATGGCAACAACACATCATCAGTAGGGTAAAACTAACCTGTCTCACGACGGTCTAAACCCAGCTCACGTTCCCTATTAGTGGGTGAACAATCCAACGCTTGGTGAATTCTGCTTCACAATGATAGGAAGAGCCGACATCGAAGGATCAAAAAGCGACGTCGCTATGAACGCTTGGCCGCCACAAGCCAGTTATCCCTGTGGTAACTTTTCTGACACCTCCTGCTTAAAACCCAAAAGGTCAGAAGGATCGTGAGGCCCCGCTTTCACGGTCTGTATTCGTACTGAAAATCAAGATCAAGCGAGCTTTTGCCCTTCTGCTCCACGGGAGGTTTCTGTCCTCCCTGAGCTCGCCTTAGGACACCTGCGTTACCGTTTGACAGGTGTACCGCCCCAGTCAAACTCCCCACCTGGCACTGTCCCCGGAGCGGGTCGCGCCCGGCCGGCGCGCGGCCGGGCGCTTGGCGCCAGAAGCGAGAGCCCCTCGGGGCTCGCCCCCCCGCCTCACCGGGTCAGTGAAAAAACGATCAGAGTAGTGGTATTTCACCGGCGGCCCGCAGGGCCGGCGGACCCCGCCCCGGGCCCCTCGCGGGGACACCGGGGGGGCGCCGGGGGCCTCCCACTTATTCTACACCTCTCATGTCTCTTCACCGTGCCAGACTAGAGTCAAGCTCAACAGGGTCTTCTTTCCCCGCTGATTCCGCCAAGCCCGTTCCCTTGGCTGTGGTTTCGCTGGATAGTAGGTAGGGACAGTGGGAATCTCGTTCATCCATTCATGCGCGTCACTAATTAGATGACGAGGCATTTGGCTACCTTAAGAGAGTCATAGTTACTCCCGCCGTTTACCCGCGCTTCATTGAATTTCTTCACTTTGACATTCAGAGCACTGGGCAGAAATCACATCGCGTCAACACCCGCCGCGGGCCTTCGCGATGCTTTGTTTTAATTAAACAGTCGGATTCCCCTGGTCCGCACCAGTTCTAAGTCGGCTGCTAGGCGCCGGCCGAGGCGAGGCGCCGCGCGGAACCGCGGCCCCGGGGGCGGACCCGGCGGGGGGGACCGGCCCGCGGCCCCTCCGCCGCCCGCCGCCGCCGCCGCGCGCCGAGGAGGAGGGGGGAACGGGGGGCGGACGGGGCCGGGGGGGTAGGGCGGGGGGACGAACCGCCCCGCCCCGCCGCCCGCCGACCGCCGCCGCCCGACCGCTCCCCGCCCCCAGCGGACGCGCGCGCGACGAGACGTGGGGTGGGGGGGGGGGCGCGCCGGCGCCCGCCGGGCTCCCCGGGGGCGGCCGCGACGCCCGCCGCAGCTGGGGCGATCCACGGGAAGGGCCCGGCTCGCGTCCAGAGTCGCCGCCGCCGCCGGCCCCCCGGGTGCCCGGGCCCCCCTCGCGGGGGACCGTGCCCCCGCCGCCGGGGCCCCGCGGCGGGCCGCCGCCGGCCCCTGCCGCCCCGACCCTTCTCCCCCCGCCGCCGCCCCCACGCGGCGCTCCCCCGGGGAGGGGGGAGGACGGGGAGCGGGGGAGAGAGAGAGAGAGAGGGCGCGGGGCGGGGAGGGAGCGAGCGGCGCGCGCGGGGTGGGGCGGGGGAGGGCCGCGAGGGGGGTGCCCCGGGCGTGGGGGGGGCGGCGGCGCCTCGTCCAGCCGCGGCGCGCGCCCAGCCCCGCTTCGCGCCCCAGCCCGACCGACCCAGCCCTTAGAGCCAATCCTTATCCCGAAGTTACGGATCCGGCTTGCCGACTTCCCTTACCTACATTGTTCCAACATGCCAGAGGCTGTTCACCTTGGAGACCTGCTGCGGATATGGGTACGGCCCGGCGCGAGATTTACACCCTCTCCCCCGGATTTTCAAGGGCCAGCGAGAGCTCACCGGACGCCGCCGGAACCGCGACGCTTTCCAAGGCACGGGCCCCTCTCTCGGGGCGAACCCATTCCAGGGCGCCCTGCCCTTCACAAAGAAAAGAGAACTCTCCCCGGGGCTCCCGCCGGCTTCTCCGGGATCGGTCGCGTTACCGCACTGGACGCCTCGCGGCGCCCATCTCCGCCACTCCGGATTCGGGGATCTGAACCCGACTCCCTTTCGATCGGCCGAGGGCAACGGAGGCCATCGCCCGTCCCTTCGGAACGGCGCTCGCCCATCTCTCAGGACCGACTGACCCATGTTCAACTGCTGTTCACATGGAACCCTTCTCCACTTCGGCCTTCAAAGTTCTCGTTTGAATATTTGCTACTACCACCAAGATCTGCACCTGCGGCGGCTCCACCCGGGCCCGCGCCCTAGGCTTCAAGGCTCACCGCAGCGGCCCTCCTACTCGTCGCGGCGTAGCGTCCGCGGGGCTCCGGGGGCGGGGAGCGGGGCGTGGGCGGGAGGAGGGGAGGAGGCGTGGGGGGGGGGGCGGGGGAAGGACCCCACACCCCCGCCGCCGCCGCCGCCGCCGCCCTCCGACGCACACCACACGCGCGCGCGCGCGCGCCGCCCCCGCCGCTCCCGTCCACTCTCGACTGCCGGCGACGGCCGGGTATGGGCCCGACGCTCCAGCGCCATCCATTTTCAGGGCTAGTTGATTCGGCAGGTGAGTTGTTACACACTCCTTAGCGGATTCCGACTTCCATGGCCACCGTCCTGCTGTCTATATCAACCAACACCTTTTCTGGGGTCTGATGAGCGTCGGCATCGGGCGCCTTAACCCGGCGTTCGGTTCATCCCGCAGCGCCAGTTCTGCTTACCAAAAGTGGCCCACTAGGCACTCGCATTCCACGCCCGGCTCCACGCCAGCGAGCCGGGCTTCTTACCCATTTAAAGTTTGAGAATAGGTTGAGATCGTTTCGGCCCCAAGACCTCTAATCATTCGCTTTACCGGATAAAACTGCGTGGCGGGGGTGCGTCGGGTCTGCGAGAGCGCCAGCTATCCTGAGGGAAACTTCGGAGGGAACCAGCTACTAGATGGTTCGATTAGTCTTTCGCCCCTATACCCAGGTCGGACGACCGATTTGCACGTCAGGACCGCTACGGACCTCCACCAGAGTTTCCTCTGGCTTCGCCCTGCCCAGGCATAGTTCACCATCTTTCGGGTCCTAACACGTGCGCTCGTGCTCCACCTCCCCGGCGCGGCGGGCGAGACGGGCCGGTGGTGCGCCCTCGGCGGACTGGAGAGGCCTCGGGATCCCACCTCGGCCGGCGAGCGCGCCGGCCTTCACCTTCATTGCGCCACGGCGGCTTTCGTGCGAGCCCCCGACTCGCGCACGTGTTAGACTCCTTGGTCCGTGTTTCAAGACGGGTCGGGTGGGTAGCCGACGTCGCCGCCGACCCCGTGCGCTCGCTCCGCCGTCCCCCTCTTCGGGGGACGCGCGCGTGGCCCCGAGAGAACCTCCCCCGGGCCCGACGGCGCGACCCGCCCGGGGCGCACTGGGGACAGTCCGCCCCGCCCCCCGACCCGCGCGCGGCACCCCCCCCGTCGCCGGGGCGGGGGCGCGGGGAGGAGGGGTGGGAGAGCGGTCGCGCCGTGGGAGGGGTGGCCCGGCCCCCCCACGAGGAGACGCCGGCGCGCCCCCGCGGGGGAGACCCCCCTCGCGGGGGATTCCCCGCGGGGGTGGGCGCCGGGAGGGGGGAGAGCGCGGCGACGGGTCTCGCTCCCTCGGCCCCGGGATTCGGCGAGTGCTGCTGCCGGGGGGGCTGTAACACTCGGGGGGGGTTTCGGTCCCGCCGCCGCCGCCGCCGCCGCCACCGCCGCCGCCGCCGCCGCCCCGACCCGCGCGCCCTCCCGAGGGAGGACGCGGGGCCGGGGGGCGGAGACGGGGGAGGAGGAGGACGGACGGACGGACGGACGGGGCCCCCCGAGCCACCTTCCCCGCCGGGCCTTCCCAGCCGTCCCGGAGCCGGTCGCGGCGCACCGCCGCGGTGGAAATGCGCCCGGCGGCGGCCGGTCGCCGGTCGGGGGACGGTCCCCCGCCGACCCCACCCCCGGCCCCGCCCGCCCACCCCCGCACCCGCCGGAGCCCGCCCCCTCCGGGGAGGAGGAGGAGGGGCGGCGGGGGAAGGGAGGGCGGGTGGAGGGGTCGGGAGGAACGGGGGGCGGGAAAGATCCGCCGGGCCGCCGACACGGCCGGACCCGCCGCCGGGTTGAATCCTCCGGGCGGACTGCGCGGACCCCACCCGTTTACCTCTTAACGGTTTCACGCCCTCTTGAACTCTCTCTTCAAAGTTCTTTTCAACTTTCCCTTACGGTACTTGTTGACTATCGGTCTCGTGCCGGTATTTAGCCTTAGATGGAGTTTACCACCCGCTTTGGGCTGCATTCCCAAGCAACCCGACTCCGGGAAGACCCGGGCCCGGCGCGCCGGGGGCCGCTACCGGCCTCACACCGTCCACGGGCTGGGCCTCGATCAGAAGGACTTGGGCCCCCCACGAGCGGCGCCGGGGAGCGGGTCTTCCGTACGCCACATGTCCCGCGCCCCGCCGCGGGGCGGGGATTCGGCGCTGGGCTCTTCCCTGTTCACTCGCCGTTACTGAGGGAATCCTGGTTAGTTTCTTCTCCTCCGCTGACTAATATGCTTAAATTCAGCGGGTCGCCACGTCTGATCTGAGGTCGCGTCTCGGAGGGGGACGGGCCGCTCGGCGGACGGACGGACGGAATCGCGCCGGCCCGACCGCCCGCCCGACGCTCCGTCGGGAGACGGGCCCGGCGAGGGGGAGAGGCGACGGGAGAGAGAGCGCGCGGCCGGCGGCACCCCCGCGCCGCCCCGCCGGAGCGGGACGACCGGAGGGAGGGGCACGGGCCGGGGGCGGGACGGGCGCCGCACGCCCCGACCCGTCTCCCCCGCGGAGGTCGGGGGGACGGGTCCGAGGACGCGGCGGCGGAGCCGCCCCGCCCCGACGCGGAAGCTCGGGACGGGGCCCCGGCGCGGCGCGGCGCGGCCGCGAGCCGGAGGCGGGCGCGCGACGGCGGACGACACCGCGGCGTCCCGCGGGTCGCCGCCGGGGACACGCGAACCCCGGCGCCGCGGCCACGGGCGCGGCCGGGCGGGCCGCGGGGCGGGCTCCCGGCCCCGGCCGACGCGCCGCGAGGCGAGCCGGGCGGGCGGGCGCGCGTACGCGCGGGGAGGGCGAGGAGGACGGGCGGGGCCTCGGAGGAGGGGCGGCGGGGAGGAGGAGGGGCGCGGGAGCGGCGGTCGGCCGGACGCCGGGCCGCCACCGGGGGCGGGCGGCGAACCGCGGCGACCGGGACGCGCTCCCCCGACCCTCTCTCCCCGCCGGCACCCTTCCCCTTCCGGACCCGCCTTCCTCCTCCCCCACCACCACACCGCACGCAACACGCCCCCACCGCCGACGACGCGCGACGACGACGACGACGACGGGCACGGGACCTTCCACCCGGCCGGGGCCGACGAACCCCGAACCCCGAGCCGCGCGCGGCGCGAGGGAGCCCCCCGAGGGAGGAACCCGGACCGCAGGCGGCGGCCACGGGAACTCGGCCCGAGCCGGCTCTCTCTTTCCCTCTCCGTCTTCGCGGGCGGCGGCGGCGCCGCCCTCCCCGTCTCTCTCAGCCGGGCGCGCCCCCCTCTCCCCCCCGCCACCCGACGCGTGACCACGCAGGGCCCGCGGGGGGAGGGGGAAGGGGCGGGCGCGGCGGCAAGAGGAGGGCGGACGCCGCCGGGTCTGCGCTTAGGGGGACGGAGGGCCCCCGGCGGGCCCTGCGAGGGAACCCCCAGCCGCGCACCCCGAGGAGCCCGGAGGCACCCCCGGGGGCGATTGATCGGCAAGCGACGCTCAGACAGGCGTAGCCCCGGGAGGAACCCGGGGCCGCAAGTGCGTTCGAAGTGTCGATGATCAATGTGTCCTGCAATTCACATTAATTCTCGCAGCTAGCTGCGTTCTTCATCGACGCACGAGCCGAGTGATCCACCGCTAAGAGTCGTACGAGGTCGATTTGGCGAGGGCGCTCCCGACGACGCACCGGGAGGAGGCCCTTCCTGGCGCGGCACGTCCCCCCCCCCCCCGCCCAAGAGGAGAGGGGGTTGCCTCAGGCCGGCCAGACGAGACAGCAAACGGGACCGGACTCCGGAGAGGGGTCGGAAGGTTTCACACCACGGGGAGGCGCGCGCCGCCCACGCGGGGGCGAGCGCGGACACCACCCCACAGGCGCCCGGGGGTTCCCGCCCCCACGGCGCGGGGCGCACGCCACACGCGCGGCAGGCGCGCGACGGCCGCCGGGTAAAGCCCCCACCCGACGGCCGCCGCGGCGGCGGCGGCGGCGCGGCCCCGGCCGGGGAGCGGAGTCCGCGGTGGAGGCGCGGGAGGGGCCGGGCCCCTCCCGACGGGACTCCCCCGCGGGCCCACCACCGCCCCCGACCCACGGGCGGACGGGCGATCCCCCCAAGGGGTCTTTAAACCTCCGCGCCGGAACGCGCTAGGTACCTGGACGGCGGGGGGGCGGACGAGGAGGCGGGGGAGGGGACCGGCGTCCGGCCCCCGACCCTCGAGACGCCCTAGCGGGAAGGCCGGGGAGAGCGAGCGGGGCCGTGCCCGGCGGCGCGGAGCGGCGCGGCGGAGGCGACGGGAATCCGGCCGGCCCCGAAGACGGGGAGCCGGCGCGGCGGGGCCGGACGACGGGCCCCGGCGGGGAGGAGGGCACCGAGACCCCCCCAGACCCGCCGCGACGCCGCCGAGAACCGCCCCCGCGCCCGCCGACACCCACGTCGTCGGGGCCGCGGCCGGGGACCGCTCCCCGCCGCCCGCCGGCCCCACGACACGCGCACACCAACGACACGCCCTTCTTTCTCTTTCTCTCTCTCTCTCTCTCTCCCCCGTCTCCCTCCCGAGTTCTCCGGCTCTCGCGGCCGGCGGGGCCGGGCGGCGAACGAACGAGCGAGCGAACGAACGGGCACGCGGGCCCCGCCCGCGCACGCGCCGCGTCGCGGTGGGGGGGTGGGTGTGCGGAGGGAAGCGCGCGGCGGCGGCGGCGCCGCCGCGGGCCTCGCCCTCCGGGCTCCGTTAATGATCCTTCCGCAGGTTCACCTACGGAAACCTTGTTACGACTTTTACTTCCTCTAGATAGTCAAGTTCGACCGTCTTCTCAGCGCTCCGCCAGGGCCGTGGGCCGACCCCGGCGGGGCCGATCCGAGGGCCTCACTAAACCATCCAATCGGTAGTAGCGACGGGCGGTGTGTACAAAGGGCAGGGACTTAATCAACGCAAGCTTATGACCCGCACTTACTGGGAATTCCTCGTTCATGGGGAATAATTGCAATCCCCGATCCCCATCACGAATGGGGTTCAACGGGTTACCCGCGCCTGCCGGCGTAGGGTAGGCACACGCTGAGCCAGTCAGTGTAGCGCGCGTGCAGCCCCGGACATCTAAGGGCATCACAGACCTGTTATTGCTCAATCTCGGGTGGCTGAACGCCACTTGTCCCTCTAAGAAGTTGGGGGACGCCGACCGCTCGGGGGTCGCGTAACTAGTTAGCATGCCAGAGTCTCGTTCGTTATCGGAATTAACCAGACAAATCGCTCCACCAACTAAGAACGGCCATGCACCACCACCCACGGAATCGAGAAAGAGCTATCAATCTGTCAATCCTGTCCGTGTCCGGGCCGGGTGAGGTTTCCCGTGTTGAGTCAAATTAAGCCGCAGGCTCCACTCCTGGTGGTGCCCTTCCGTCAATTCCTTTAAGTTTCAGCTTTGCAACCATACTCCCCCCGGAACCCAAAGACTTTGGTTTCCCGGAAGCTGCCCGGCGGGTCATGGGAATAACGCCGCCGCATCGCCGGTCGGCATCGTTTATGGTCGGAACTACGACGGTATCTGATCGTCTTCGAACCTCCGACTTTCGTTCTTGATTAATGAAAACATTCTTGGCAAATGCTTTCGCTCTGGTCCGTCTTGCGCCGGTCCAAGAATTTCACCTCTAGCGGCGCAATACGAATGCCCCCGGCCGTCCCTCTTAATCATGGCCTCAGTTCCGAAAACCAACAAAATAGAACCGCGGTCCTATTCCATTATTCCTAGCTGCGGTATCCAGGCGGCTCGGGCCTGCTTTGAACACTCTAATTTTTTCAAAGTAAACGCTTCGGGCCCCGCGGGACACTCAGCTAAGAGCATCGAGGGGGCGCCGAGAGGCAAGGGGCGGGGACGGGCGGTGGCTCGCCTCGCGGCGGACCGCCCGCCCGCTCCCAAGATCCAACTACGAGCTTTTTAACTGCAGCAACTTTAATATACGCTATTGGAGCTGGAATTACCGCGGCTGCTGGCACCAGACTTGCCCTCCAATGGATCCTCGTTAAAGGATTTAAAGTGGACTCATTCCAATTACAGGGCCTCGAAAGAGTCCTGTATTGTTATTTTTCGTCACTACCTCCCCGGGTCGGGAGTGGGTAATTTGCGCGCCTGCTGCCTTCCTTGGATGTGGTAGCCGTTTCTCAGGCTCCCTCTCCGGAATCGAACCCTGATTCCCCGTCACCCGTGGTCACCATGGTAGGCACGGCGACTACCATCGAAAGTTGATAGGGCAGACGTTCGAATGGGTCGTCGCCGCCACGGGGGGCGTGCGATCGGCCCGAGGTTATCTAGAGTCACCAAAGCCGCCGGCGCCCGCCCCCCGGCCGGGGCCGGAGAGGGGCTGACCGGGTTGGTTTTGATCTGATAAATGCACGCATCCCCCCCGCGAAGGGGGTCAGCGCCCGTCGGCATGTATTAGCTCTAGAATTACCACAGTTATCCAAGTAGGAGAGGAGCGAGCGACCAAAGGAACCATAACTGATTTAATGAGCCATTCGCAGTTTCACTGTACCGGCCGTGCGTACTCAGACATGCATGGCTTAATCTTTGAGACAAGCATATGCTACTGGCAGGATCAACCAGGTAGGTAAGGTAGAGCGCGGCGAGGCCCCGACGCGGCCGGACGGCCGGCCGGGGGGCCTCGCGAGGACGGGCCCGGCGCCCCGCAAGCGAGGAGGACGACGGACGGACGGACGGGCCGCGGACGGGCGGACGGGAGGGAGCGAGCGGGCGCGGGGGCGGCGGCCGGGACCGGTGGGGCCGGGGCGGGGCGCGGCGAACCGGACGCCCCAACCACCCGCCCCCCACGCGACACGACCACCGGGGCCCCGCGCCACAGACCCGCGACGCTTCTTCGTCGCGCCCGCCCGCGAGGAGGCGGACGGCCCGACCCGCGCCCGGCGGCCGGGAGGGACCGGCGGCCACGCGCGCGCGCGCGCGGCCGGCGCCCGCGGGCGGCGGCGAGGCGGGGACGGCGCTCCGCCCGCCCCGCGGGGCGGCCCCGACGTCCGGGCGGCGAGCGAGAGGCGGACCGCGGTGCCCGGCCCGGGGACAGTCGCGCCGTGCGGCCGCAGCGCCCGCGCACCGGTCCGGTCGAGGGCCCGGGGCCCGGCCGAAGCCCGGCTCCGAGCCCCGCCGGCGGGCGCGGGCGCAGGGGTGGCACACGCCACACGACGGCCAAGGGAGGGCCGACCGAGGCCGGCCGGCGCGCCCGCCCCCGCCCGGGACGGGGGACCGCGACCGGGGCCGAGGCCCCGGCCCGGGCCCCACCCCCCGACCCGGGGAAAGGGCGAGCGACCGGCAAGGCGGAGGTCGACCCACGCCACACGTCGCACGAACGCCTGTCCGGCAGGGACCACCGGGCCGCGCTCGGGCGCACGCGCGCGCCGAACGGGGCGACGCCACGCGGGGAGGACGGGCTCTCCCCGACGCCGACGCCCGGGACGGACGCCTCGGGGAAGGGCCGCGGCAGGCCCGGGAAGCGAGGCGCACCCGGGGGACGCGCCGACCCGGTTCGGAAGAGCGGGCCGGGAGAAGACGAGAGACCACGGGCGAGGCCGGGGCGACGGGGAAGGCGCGAGAAAGGCGGCCGGCGGGGAAGGGGACGCCACGGGGACCCCTCGAGCGCGGCCGACCGCGGCCGGGACACACGCGCGGGGCCTCACCGCCGCCGGCGGCACCGCGCGGCACCCGGGGCGGCCGACCGGCCCTCGGCGATCCCCGCGGCTGCCCCCACCACCGCCGCCGCAGTCGCGGCCGGTCCCCCGGAACCGTCTCCTCCCCCGCACGCGCCGCAGGCCGACCCCCGGAACCCTCCGGGAAGCCCACCGGGCCCCACGCGGGGCGCCACCGACCCGGTCCCCAAGGCGCGCGCCGGGGGACGCGGACGCCGGGCCGATCAGTGGCCGGCGGCGGCGCCCCACGAGGCGGTGCCGGGTTCGGTCCCAGGCGGGGCCACCAACGGACGTGAAGCCGGTGAGCCGCTCGGGGGGAAGAAGAGGATCGGCGGGCGGCGGGCGGGGAAGAGGGCACAGACGGGCGAGGGCCGGGGACCGCGAGGGCAAGGGCACCCGGGAGCCCGCAGAGGCGGCGGCTCGGGGAGAAACCTCAGGCACGGCCGGGCCACCAGGAAAACACGGCCGCGGGATCCCACCGCCACAGACACGAGGGCGGTCCCGCGGCGCCCCGCCTGGGACGCCGGACGGCCCTCGGCCCCCACCGAGAACCGCCTCGCGAGCCCCGGGGCCCCGCCACCGGGGGCCCCGGAGCGACCGCAGCCACGAACCCGACACGCCCGCACCACCGTCGCTCGTGATTCTCGTCCATCCTCCGACCCGGTCCCGCTCCGGGAGACCGGCGCGCCCCCACCGTGGGACGCTTTCCCAGGGCCAGGCGGGCCCGACCCCGTGCCACGCAAACGCGGTCGTCGGCACCGGTCACGACTCGGCACGGGAGCGGGCGGAGAGCCGACTCGCGGCGGAGGGGGTCACGCGCCGGACAGAGCGCCGGGCGCGCACACCCACCGCCCGCCGGCCGCCGCGTCCCAACCCGCTGGGAACGCCGGGCCCGGCCCGGCGGGATCCTCCCCCGACTCGGAAGGGGGAGGCGCGGGCCACAGTAGGCGACGAGCCGCACTCGGCCACCACCGCGGTGGCCGGCGGAACCCTCGCTTCTCCCCCCCAACCCCGTCGAGGGGGAAGCGGAGGAGGGTCCTCTGCGAGCGGGTCGCTACGGCAGCGCTACCATAACGGAGGCAGAGACAGAGGCGGCGGCCCGGGGGATCCGGTACCCCCAAGGCACGCCTCTCAGATCGCTAGAGAAGGCTTTTCTCACCGAGGGTGGGTCACACTCCCCCCACCCGCCAGCCGCTCCTCCTCGGGCCCGCAGAGGCGCCGAGGGACGCCTGGGGAAGGGAGGGGGCCCTGCGGTACGAGGAAACACCTGCGCGCGGCCACCTCGAGCGTTCGCGTTCAGGGCGGGGGCCCGGCCGGTGCGCGCGTGCGCGCAACCCCACCAGGCCCCCCCGTCCACCCACCTCCTTCCTTCCGAGGCAGAGCGCCTCCGAAGTCAACCCACACACGACCGGTCGGAGGCAGAACGGCAGCCCCTCGGCGGCCGGCCGGCGCACGCGTCACACCGGCCCGAACCCACCGCGATCGCTCACACGGCCCGCGCGCACCCGCCAGAGGGGAGCACGGGACGTGCGCTCACCGAGAGCAGGCGGGCGCCCTTCCCCGCGTGGGAGGGGCGCGTCTCGTCTCGTCTCACTCAAACCGCCTCGAACCCCACACCGACGAGCTCCCTCAGGACCCACGCGCGGACACCGCGGCGGCGACCGGAGGAGGGGGCGCCGGGGGCGGGAACGACACACCACCGTTCGGCCTCGGGCACCTGAGGGACAACCCGGAGCGCTCCAGGAGCACCGCAAGGGCCCAGGCGGAGCCGACGCTCGCGCAAACCCCCCGAGAGGGCAGCACGACGGGCCGGCGGGACGGCACCCCCACCGCCGCGGAGGGGGGCCGCCCGCAAGTCGACAACCACTGGAGGCGACAGCGAGGGCTGTCTGCCGCGTCAGAGGACCCCGCCGGCCCGCCCCGCGACGCAGAAGGCGGCGGGCGGGACGGCGAGGTCGGGCCGGGGTCCGCACCCCACGCCTTCCCACACGCACCGCCGGCGGGCGGGGAGAGGAGAGACGAGGGGACCCCCGCGGGGCGGAGCGAGAAGGACGGTCCCGTTCGCCACGAACGTCCGCCCCTCGCCCGTCGCGGCTCGGACCCGGCCCGGGAGAGCACGACGTCACCACATCGATCACGAAGAGCCCCCCGGGAGCGGAGGCCGGCCGGCCGGCCAGCGAGCCGATCGGCTCCGGCCAACCCCCCACTCCGGGGAAGGGGCGGCGGACAACCCCGCGGAGACGAGAACGCCTGACACGCACGGCACGGAGCCAGCGGGGTGGGGTTGTCGCGGCCGCCCCGGGCGCCCGCAGCGGAGAGCGCACGGGGGCACGGTGGCCCTCGCCGCCTTCCCCGCCGCCCCCGGGTGGGTCAGAGACCCGGACCCGGGCCGGCACCGGGAGTCGGGACGCTCGGACGCGCGAGAGAACAGCAGGCCCGCGGGCCCCGGCAGGCGGCTCAAGCAGGAGCGCGGCCGGCTAGCCGGGTCACCGGTAGGCCAGAGCCCCGCGCGCATCCGGAGGCCCAACCTCTCCAGCGACAGGTCGCCAGAGGACAGCGTGTCAGCAATAACCCGGCGGCCCAAAATGCCGACTCGGAGCGAAAGATATACCTCCCCCGGGGCCGGGAGGTCGCGTCACCGACCACGCCGCCGGCCCAGGCGACGCGCGACACGGACACCTGTCCCCAAAAACGCCACCATCGCAGCCACACACGGAGCGCCCGGGGCCCTCTGGTCAACCCCAGGACACACGCGGGAGCAGCGCCGGGCCGGGGACGCCCTCCCGGCCGCCCGTGCCACACGCAGGGGGCCGGCCCGTGTCTCCAGAGCGGGAGCCGGAAGCATTTTCGGCCGGCCCCTCCTACGACCGGGACACACGAGGGACCGAAGGCCGGCCAGGCGCGACCTCTCGGGCCGCACGCGCGCTCAGGGAGCGCTCTCCGACTCCGCACGGGGACTCGCCAGAAAGGATCGCGGCAGAGGGACCGCGGCCCGGCCCGGGGACCGCTCCCCGGCACCCGGGGGACGGGGGCGGGACGGTCCCCGGCTCCCCACGGGGACTCGGAAACGAATTCGGCCGCCGCCTCAGACGGCCAGGATGAGCGCGGACCCGCGACCGGGCCGGGAAGGGCGTCCCCAGCCTCCCGCGCCACGCGCGGCGGGTCCCCGCGGGTCGCGGCTCGGGCCTCGGGAGCTACGGCGCGCTGGTCGACCGGCCCGGGCAGCCCCACGCCCGCCGCGGGCCCAGAAGCGCAGCGACAGCCTCTCCCCCACATAAACCTGCACGCCAGAGCTGTGACTCACAAGCGACGCGCCACAGCTCTGGCGCCACCGGGCCAGCCGGGCTGACGACCGCGGGCTTTCCGGAGCTCTGCCTAGCTCACAGCGGGGACGGTCCCCTCCCTCGGCAGCTGCCACCGCAGCTCCGGAAGCCGAGAGCACGATCTCAAAGCGGCCGCCAGATGGAGCCCGACAACCGCCGCGGACGTCAGCGAGACAGATCCGGCTGGCAGGGCGGCCCGTGGACCGCGAAAGCGAAACCGTGAGTCGAGAAGCTCTTCCCGAGGCCGAAAACGCAGCCCCTCTGCCCCAACCCCACACAAACGGTGCCCAAAACGCGTCTCTGCCTCGACCGCGACAGAGTCAGAAGACAACCCACGGCGCGTGGGTGTTTGGAGATGCCTCTCGGAAGCAGGGAGGGAGGGAGGGAGGGAGTGAGGGAGGGAGAAAGAACACACAAGGACTCGGTCGCGGGTCGCTGCAGACACACGGAGAGGCAGAATGGGTAGGCTCTTCCGGAATCCACGCAGAGACAGACGGGGGGAGGGGAGTGGGGAAAAGAGACAGATGGCGAAAGGGAAGGAGGGAGGGAAGGGAGCAGGGAGGGAGGGAGGGAGGGAGGGAGGAAGACAATGGAGAAAAGAGAGACAATTTAGAAAACGTAGATACACAAAGTAAACTTCTGAAACACTCCATTTTTTAAAAGACAGACGGGAAGGAAAGAAACACGAAAAAGAGAGAAAGAATGAGGAAAGAAACGAAGGAAAGAAGGGAAAAAGAAACAGAGAGGAAAGAAAAAAGAAGGAAACACAGGGAACGAAAGAGAAATAAAGCACGAAGGAAAAAAGGACAGAAAGAGAGAAAGAAGGAAAGGAAGAGAGGAAGAAAAACCTAAAGAAGGAGAGAAAGGAAGAAAGGAAGGAAGAAAAACACGAAGGAGAGGAAGAAAGAAAACAGAGATAACTACGTACGCTCGTTCATTTACACACATAAATACGACGCTTTTCATACGTAAAATAAACGTCTTTATCGACGATCCCTTCTTTATAGAGCGATGTGTATTTATTTGTATAACACAGACACCTACATCTATCATACAGAAGTCTATTTCCATACAACCGATACGTATTTACCATACGCAAGAGTATTCAATGCAGAGATACACGTTGTCGTTGTTTGCATATAAGCGTACAGAAACGTTTACATTAATACATATAAGTAAACGCGTGGAAACGAAAGAAATAAAAAAGCGAAATGAGTCAACAGGCCGGGCACGGTGGCTCACGCCCGTCATCCCAGCACTTCGAGAGGCCGAGGTGGGCGCATCACAGGAGGTCGGGAGTTGGAGACCAGCCTGAGCAACATGGAGAGACACGGCGTGCCTACTAAAAACACAAACATCAGCCAAGCCAGGCGTGGGGGTGCCTCCCTGTAATCCCCGCTAATCGGGAGGCTGAGGCAGGAGAAGCGCTCGAACCCGGGAGGCGGAAGGTGCGGTGAGCCAAGATCGCGCCATTGCACTCTAGCCGTGGAAACAAGAGTGAAACTCTGTCTCAAAAGGACGAAACAGAAAGAAAGAAAGAAAGAAAGATAGAAAGAAAGAAAGAAAGAAAGGAAAGAAAGAAAGAATGAATGAATGAAAGAAAAGAAAGCAAGAAAGAAAGAAAAAGAAAAGAAAGAAAGAAAAGAAAGCAAGAAAGAAAGCACGAAAGCAAGCAAGCAAGAAAGCAAGAAAACAAGGAAGCAAGAAAGCAAGCAAGAAAGAAACAAAAGAAAGAAAGCAAGAAAACAAGAAAGCACGAAAGCAAGCAAGCAAGAAAGCAAGAAAACAAGGAAGCAAGAAAGAAAGAAACAAAAGAAAGAAAGAAAACAAGAAAGCAAGAAAGCACGAAAGCAATCAAGCAAGAAAGCAAGCAGGAAAGAAACAAAAGAAAGAAAGAAATCGAGAAAACAAGAAAGCACGAAAGCAAGCAAGCAAGAAAGCAAGCAAGAAAGAAACAAAAGAAAGAAAGAAAGAAAGAAAACAGGAAAGCAAGAAAGCACGAAAGCAAGCAAGCAAGCAAGAAAGCAAGCATGAAAGAAACGAAAGAAAGAAAGAAAGCAAGAAAACGGGAAAGCAAGAAAGCACGAAAGCAAGCAAGCAAGCGAGCGAGAGAGAGAGAGAGAGAGAGAGAGAGAGAGAGAGAGAGAGAGGCTGGGCGCGGTGGCTCACGCCTGTCATCCCAGCACTTTGGGAGGCTAAGGCAGGCGGACCACCTGAGGTTGGGAGTGGGAGACCAGCCTGACCAACATGGAAAAACACCGTCTCTACTAAAAGTACAAACATCAGCCAGGCACGGTGGCCCATGCCTGTAATCCCAGCTAATCAGGAGGCTGAGGCAGGAGAATCGCTTGAACCTGGGAGGCGGAGGGTGCGGTGAGCCGAGATCGCACCATTGCCCTCTAGCCTGGGCAACAAGAGTGAAACTCTGTCTCAAAAAAAAAAAGAAGAAGAAGAAGAAGAAGAAGAAGAAGAAGAAGAAGAAGAAGAAGAAGAAAAAGAGAAAGTAATAAAGAAAGAAAGAAAGAAAAGGCAAGGCCAGGCAAGTCCAGGCAAGGCAAATCTACCTGCTTTCACTACATCTGGGGAGAATCAGGAAAGTCCCCAACAACAACAAGGCCTAAAGTGGAGCTGCCATCTGTCAAACCCGAGCGGAAGAGTCCACGCGGGTTAAAGACACGAAGAAAGACAAGGAAACCCCTGACCAAGGAGAAGAACAATCGGGCCCAGCCAGGGTCTGTCTCCCGGGGTTGTCTGGGCAACCAGGGAGGGCGGGCCTCCGAGACTCCGTCTCGAAACATCAATCATGATAATAACATAAAATGAAGTTAAAAAAAGAAATCACGCATAATTCCTAACGTGTTTGAGGCCTCGAAAGGCGAGAGGCGTACGTGTATGTCACGGTGGGGTTGTTCTGTTTTGTTGTTTTTTTCTTTTTTCTTTTCTTCTTTTTCCCCAGAAACTCACTTTTTAATTATTTTGTTGCGTTTCATTTTCATTTTCATTTTTTGGAGACGGAGTCTCGCTCTGTCGCCCAGGCTGGGTTGCAGTGGCGCGATCTCGGCTCACTGCAACCTCCGCCTCCCAGGTTCAAGCGATTCTCCTGCCTCAGCTCGGCCTCCCGAGTAGCTGGGATTACAGACAGTACAGCACAGCACAGCGCCCGGCTAATGTTGTGTATTGTGAGTAGAGACGGGGTTTCACCATACTGGCCCTGTTGGTCTGACCGCCTCTTGATCCACCGGCCTTGGCCTCCCAAAGTGAGGGGATGACAGGCTTGAGCCACCGCGCAGGGCCCATTTATTTATTTTATTTTATTTATTTATTTTAATTTATGTATGTATGTATGTATGTATGTATGTATGTATTTATTTATGTATTTATTTTTGAGACGGAGTTTCGCTCTTGTTGCTCAGACTGGAGTGCGATGGCGCAATCTCGGCTCACTGCAACCTCCGCTTCCCAGGTTCAAGCGATTCTCCTGCCTCAGCCTTCCTAGCAGCTGGGATTATAGGCATGTGCCACCGCGCCCGGCTAGTTTTGTATTTTCAATTGAGACGGGATTTCTCCATGTTGGTCGGGCTTGTCTCCAACTCCCGACTTCAGGTGATGCGTCCACCTCGGCATCCCAAAGTGACGGGATGACAGGCATGAGCCACCGCGCCCGGCGTATTGTATTGTATTGTATTGTATTGTATTGTATTGTATTGTATTGTATTGTATCGTATCGTATTGTATTGTATCCTATCGTATCCTATCGCATCCTATCGTATCGTATCTTATTGTATTGTAATGGGTTGTATTGACTTATTTTATTTAGTTAGTTACTTTTGTGTTATTTTATTTATTTATCTGTTTGTTCGTTTTTGCCTGATCAAAGGTCAATCAGACCCGGTCGTCAAAGTGGCGATTTCCTAGGCAACAAGGGAGGGAGGAACTTGGAGGTGGGGGCGGGGGCGGTGGAGAAGACACAGTTGCCCCAGGCTGTGCGCAGGCGGCCTGGTGCTCCCTTCCTCTGTGAGGCCTCCGTTTTCAGAGTAACAGTGACCGCTAGGTGATGCCCGACGCCTGCCAGTGAGCGTGTCAGCCCGGAATGAATTGGGATCCCCTGGGGAGGGGGTGGGGGGAAGGATGGAGGCTCCCACAGCACAGTGGGTCACCGCGCCCTCCAAGGCGATCCCCACAACTAATCGACCAGGGCTCCTGGGGGGACGCAGCCTAAGTCCCCCACCCATCGGATCATCTGGAACTTCCGTCCAGAGACGAGAGACCGACTGGGAATCCTCTCAGTCAAGGTCCAAACCGAAAAGAATCACTGGCACGGACACCAGGGCTAAGGCCATTTCTAAAAGACTGCTTTCTGTGTTTTGGGTGAATCCGTGTATTTCTGTATCACAAAATGACTGACTTTGAACGTTACGATTTTTCTCCTCCTTACGTGTACGGTCCTGTGATAGACAGACCAGGGGACTCCTCGGCTCAGAGTCCGTGAGGCCAGAAGCTGACGTCCCAAATTTCTATTTAGAATGAGTTTAAGCACGCCAGCCAAACGCTCTGCCGTGAAACTGTCTGTCGGGAAGACAAGCGGGGGAAGGGGAAAGGGGGGGTCCGGGCGCGGTAGGCTCGCGCCTGTCATCCCCGCACTTTTGGGAGGCCGAGGGCCGGTGGATCCCTCGGTCCAAGCCTTGGCAACACGGTGAAACCTCGTCTCAAAAAAAAAAAAAAAAAAAAAAAATTACAAAAACTAACTGGTTTCATAACCTGGACTCAAAGTTAATAAATAGATAAATAGGCCGGGGGCGGTGGCTCACGCCTGTCATCCCAGCACTTTGGGAGGCCGAGGTGGACGGATCACGGGGTCAGGAGATCGAGACCATCCTGGCTACCACAGTGAAACCCCATCTCTACTCAAAATACAAAAAGTTAGCCGGGCACGGTGGCGGGCGCCTGTAGTCCCAGCTACTTGGGAGGCTGAGGCAGGAGAATGGCGTGAACCCGGGAGGCGGAGCTTGCAGTGAGCCGAGATCACGCCGCTGCACTCCAGCCTGGGCAGCAGAGCGAGAGTCTGTCTCGAAAATAAATAAATAAGTAAATAAATAAATAAATAAATAAATGTAAATAAATAAATAGATTAAAATGGAAAACTAAAAAAAAGTAAAATAATTAAAAAAATAAATAAATAAACGTAGCCGGCCAGTCACGATGGCTCACGCCTGTCACCCCAGCACTTTGGGAGGCCGGGGCGGGCAGATCCACTGGGGTCGCCAGTTCGAGACCAGCCTGACCCACATGGAGAAATGCCGTCTCTACTAACAATACAAAATCAGCTGGGTGTGGTGGCTCCTCCCTGTAATCCCAGCTACTCAGGAGGCTGAGGCAGGAGAATCGCTTGAACGCGGGAGGTGGAGGTTGCGGTGAGCCGAGATGGTGCCACTGCACTCCAGCGTGGGCACCAAGAGTGAAACTCCGTCCGAAGGGAAAAAAAAAAATTAATTAAGTGCTGTATTCTGTTATTTTTGCTTCCTACCCTGAGAAGAACATAATACAGCTGTTGTCTTTCTGCCTGCCTGCCTGCCTGCCTGCCTGTGGCAGGGCCTCATTCTGTCTTTCGCCCAGACTGGAGCACAGTGACACAACTATGGCTCACTCACTGCAACCTCAACCTCCCCAGGGTTAGGCGATTCCTCGAGGGATCCTACGGCCTCGGCCTCCCAAAGTGTTGGGGTTACAGGCGTGAGCCACCAGCACCCGGCCTGAGTTAATACATCTGGTCTCACTACGTCTTAACCACGCACCCACGAAGAACTCAAGTCAAGAGAGAGTCGGCAAGAGACTCTCAGCATTCTCTCCCGAAAGCACGTGTGTCCCGAGCTCCTGTGGTTTCAGGTGGCCGCGCGTAGAGGAGAGATTTCCAATGTTTCCGGAGAGGTGCGAGCCACAGTCACTCGGGGCATCCGAGCATGAGATGGGGTTTCTGACAGCGACTGAAGGGCCAGGAAGGGCCAGAATCTGCCAAGGCCCGGCGTTCCAGGGTGGGGCCGAGGGAACCCAAGGTAGAGGGAGTCAGCGGTCCGCACGGAGAGAGCTCCAGCCCTAGGCCCCACTGTGCAGACCGAATCAGAAGGAAGAGAGTCCTTCGTCCTACCTGCCACACCCCTCACATCCCCCCACTGAACTTGGGAGTGGATCCGTGTTCTAAACACGAGGTGACTCTCGGTTTGCAATGGATCACAAGGCGCCGGGCTTTCCAGAGTCAGCAGGATAAAGAAGTCATTCTGTCTCGGACTCCCCCATCCCCCGGTAACGGCGGCTGGTGCCTTTAAATGAGCCGAGGCTGGCCGGGCCGGAGCCGCTATGGGGGGGGGGGGGGTGCCTGTGGCACTGCAGAAAGTGGGCCTGAGCCTCGAGGATGGCGGTGCTGCAGGGACCCGTCCAGGCTGCTATATGGCAAGCACTAAACCACTATGCCTACCGAGATGCGGTTTCCCCCGCAGAACGCCTTTATGCAGAAGTACACTCAGAAGAAGCCTTGTTCTTACTGGCGACCTGTTCTTACCGCTCAGGAAAGGCCTATAAAACATATAGACTCTTGAAAGGACACAGTTGTACTACCCCGCAATGCAAATGCCTGCTTGCGAAATGTTGTGTTGATCTCAGCAAGCTTGCAGAAGGGGATCAAATCTTATCGGGTGGAGTGTTTCATAAGCAGAAAAGCCACGATGATATTATCGTTCCTGAGTTTGGTGATTCAGCTCGCTTTCCCCTTCCATCGTCGGGACATGTATATTGCAAGACAGATCGGCTTACCAAAGGATCAGAATGTGACCAAAAGAGCCTTCGTTGAAATCCTTTCCTCTGGTGTCCCTTTGAATCATGATGTGAAATAGGGGGGAAAAGCCAGATCCTGACCAAACATTTTGATTCACCTCTCTAGAGAGCTTTAGCAACTGCCTGTCCAAGTGTTGCGCCACAACACTTGGACCTCGTCCTAGTTTATGTCACAGACAGCCCGAGACCGTTCTTACGGAAACACCCCAGGACACCGTCGAATGAAACGGATGGAATTTAGAATCTTCCAATTCAAAGTACTCCTTGAATACAGACTCCCCAGTGTCTTCTATCGATTCAGCTGTCCTTTCACCTGATACTGTCCCACTGGGAACAGGAACTTCCATATGATCTAAACAGGTTCAACATAAACCAAAAACTGGTCGAAGTTTATTAGGAGGACCAGCAGCTGTTAGTCCATTAACCCCAAGTGTTGGCATTTTGCCATTAGAAACCCCAAGTCCCGGAGACGGACCCTATTGACAAAACTGCACTGGTATGAGACACCGTCTGTCATTGACGTGCCATCCACCGGAGCCCCTTCAAAAAAGCCTGTTGCCAGAATCGGCCAAACCGGAACACCGTCTGTCTTCTCGCAGAGGGGAAAGAGCCGAAAGGTAACTCCAGTCCTTGCAAAAACACAAAGTTCTGGTCCGCCGACAAGGGCAACACCTCAGGTATTGAGCCCCACTATGGCATCTCCCCCAAATGCACCGCCTCGAAGAAATTCACGACTCTTGACTAGTGACAGCTCCACAACCGAGGAGAATAGGAGAAAATTAAAAATGAAGTTTCCACCTAAAATCCCAAACAGAAGAACCAAAAGTAAAACTAATAAAGGAGCAATAACTCCACCGAACATAAGTGATAGCCTGGAAGTGACAAAATTGGACTCTTCCGTCATTTCAGAAGGGAAAATAGCCACAATCGCGCCTCAGATTCAGGCTTTTAATCTACAAAAAGCAGCAGCGGAAGGCTTGATGAGCCTTCTTCGTGAAAGGGGGAAAGGTTATTTAGCTTTGTGTTCTTACCACGGCAAAGAAGCTATCAGCATCTTGAGCCATCTAGCTTCTCACCACTGCAATACCGGTTGGGTACTGTGCCAAATCGGAAGGGCCTATTGTAAACTTTCAGAGTCCACGCAAGCTGAAAGACAATTCTCAGAGGTTAGGAGGATTGAGAATTACAGAGTCGAAGGCATGGAGATCTACTCTACAACACTTTGGCATCCTCCGAAAGAGGTTGCTCTTTCAGTTCTGTCCAAAGACTTCACAGACATGGATAAAAATTCGCCAGCCAGAGGCCTGGTGTGCTGCAGGGAACTGTTTCGGTCTGCAACGGGAACACGATATTGCGATTCAATTCTTCCAGAGAACTCTCGAAGTGGATCCAAATGATGCTTATGCCTATAGCGCATTAGGGCGTGAGCTTGTCTTCACTGAAGAACTGGACAAAGCATTAGCTTGTTTTCGAAATGCTATCAGGGTCAATCCTAGACATTGTAAGGCATGGTAAGTGCTAATGAAGCGTAAAGACAAAGCCCTATGGATGGTGCCGGTACTCGCTAATTTTTCTGGTTAGATAGCTCTTTATTGTCACGAATTTGGTGAAAAATACTTAGGGATGGTACCTACTGCTGAATAACTTCTAACTAAGATGTTTCCTTACGAAACGTATGTCTTGAACAAACTCTGAAGTGAACTCATGATCGTAGAATACCAGATCCTTATACTCAACAGTTTCAGTCTTCTAGCAAACTTTTGCAGACGCTGTAGTTGTCTTTGGTTTGTGTGTGTGTTTCTTTAGTTGTGTTCCTTGATTTGTTACTTTTTCTTCGAGCACCGAAGTGGTGATGGGGACAAGAAGTGCTTGGGAGACTGGAAAGGAATAGCATAGTTCACTTATTGGATAATAGAAAAATACATGGAAACAATTCACTAGCTGCTGCTTTTTGACAGTGTTCCAGTTTACGGAGTTACTATGAAGAACTTCACGTACCCTTTAATTTAGCAGTCTCTCTGTTTTACTCTTTTGTACTCGTGTATAAGTAGGCACATAGGAAATTACTACCTAGGTCATATTGTTATCAACTGAATAAGATAGGAAAAAGTGTGGTCCTACTTCTGCCTCAACACCATCCTCACCGTTGACATTTATTGCGTTTCTCTGGACTGACTTCATAGTTTAAACGTCAAGAGAAGGCCGGGCTCAGTGGCTCACGCCTGTCATCCCAGCACTTTGGGAGGCCGAGGCGGGCGGGTCACGAGGTCAAGAGATCGAGACCATCCGGGCCGACACGGTGAAACCCCGTCTCTATTAAAAGTATAAAGATTAGCTGGGCGTGGTGGCGGGCACCTGTAGTCCCAGCTACTCGGGAGGCTGAGGCAGGAGAATCGCTTGAACCCAGGGAGGTGGCGGTTGCAGTGAGCCGAGATCACACCATCGCACTCCAGCCTGGGCGACAGAGCGAGACGCCGTCTCAAGAGAAATAAATTAAAAAAAATAAATACATACATAAGTAAATATCAAGAGAAAGTATGATTCTGAAGTCATAACCCTGTGGTAGTTATTTTGTCAGATACGGTGATCTTTGGGGTGACTTATTACAGCAGTGGAGTTCTATCATTTGATTTGCTTCTAAATCTGAAGCATTATATTACTGAAACACTTTTTGATTTGCGAATATGTTGTTTAATGGATCATATCTCATTTTGCTGTAGTAGTTACATTGCCCGAAAGATGGCCAAAAAGATAGTGCCAGCTACTGCTGACCAACGTAACAATCAACTTGCCAATACTGCCTTCTCTTCCGATAGCTACGTTCTCCGTCCTATTTTAAGAACTCAGTTCTTCATAAGACTTGTGTGGTTTTCGATTTTTTCCCAAGTCTGGTTGATCCTTGTGTTGTTATTTTTTTAAATGTGTATCGTCTGTTCAGCTATTTTGCAGGAGTCGCATTCTTAAAAAAATCTTAACCCTATCAAAAATTGTGTTTGTTTAAAGGAGGATTATTCAGATTGGCCAGCTTTTACTAGGAAGAGTGTAAATGCTGACGTATTTAGGTAGCTCTAAATACTGAGCAACTTTATTCTAACCACAAAATAGATAGCCTTTCTTTTGTCTTCACTTTCACTATCATTAGCACAGTGTTTAATACCGTTTCTTCATCTATAACACAATTATAATGATATAGGAAGCCACTCAAATAAGGCAGACATGTTGCGTTGCGCTTAAAAAAAAAAAAAAAAAGAAGTCTCTCTGTGGCACGGAATGAGGTGTGGCTCGAATCTAGAATCTCCAGTGAAAACCAATGAAAGAGGGTGAAACCCCGTGTCTACCAAAAAAAAAAAAAAAAAAAAAAAAAAAAAAAAAAAAAAAAAAATGAGCCGGCCATGGTGGCGCTGAAACAGGAAAATCACTTGAACCCAGGAGGCAAAGGTTCCAGTGAGCTGAAATCACGCCACTGCACTCCAGCCTGGGGGACAGAGCAAGACTCCATCTCAGAAACAAACAAACACACAAAGCCAGTCAAGGTGTTTAATTCGACGGTGTCAGGCTCAGGTCTCTTGACAGGATACATCCAGCACCCGGGGGAAACGTCGATGGGTGGGGTGGAATCTATTTTGTGGCCTCAAGGGAGGGTTTGAGAGGTAGTCCCGCAAGCGGTGATGGCCTAAGGAAGCCCCTCCGCCCAAGAAGCGATATTCATTTCTAGCCTGTAGCCACCCAAGAGGGAGAATCGGGCTCGCCACAGACCCCACAACCCCCAACCCACCCCACCCCCACCCCTCCCACCTCGTGAAATGGGCTCTCGCTCCGTCAGGCTCTAGTCACACCGTGTGGTTTTGGAACCTCCAGCGTGTGTGCGTGGGTTGCGTGGTGGGGTGGGGCCGGCTGTGGACAGAGGAGGGGATAAAGCGGCGGTGTCCCGCGGGTGCCCGGGACGTGGGGCGTGGGGCGTGGGTGGGGTGGCCAGAGCCTTGGGAACTCGTCGCCTGTCGGGACGTCTCCCCTCCTGGTCCCCTCTCTGACCTACGCTCCACATCTTCGCCGTTCAGTGGGGACCTTGTGGGTGGAAGTCACCATCCCTTTGGACTTTAGCCGACGAAGGCCGGGCTCCCAAGAGTCTCCCCGGAGGCGGGGCCTTGGGCAGGCTCACAAGGATGCTGACGGTGACGGTTGGTGACGGTGATGTACTTCGGAGGCCTCGGGCCAATGCAGAGGTATCCATTTGACCTCGGTGGGACAGGTCAGCTTTGCGGAGTCCCGTGCGTCCTTCCAGAGACTCATCCAGCGCTAGCAAGCATGGTCCCGAGGATCCCAGCTCCCAGCAGAGGCACTTTTGGTCACACAGGATCCTGGGCAGGAAAGTTCTCAGCAGGCTTAGGCCTCCTAGCCAAAAAGCCAAAACCACTTCTGGGATTTTTTTCAAAGAGCCAGTGGTTCCACAAGGGGCCGTGGGTAGTTGTGGAAATGGAGAGAAGTGTTTGCACGTACATATTTGAGACAGGACGGACAGGGCTCGGTCACAGATCACTTAGGACACGGGCAGATGCACATTGAGAAAACTCTTCCGGCATCCTAGGGGAACAGAGGTACGATTTTTCGAGACAGTCGAGGGAGAAGCCACCCCAGATTTTAGGATTGGATCTTTATTCATATGTAGTTTCTATGAGGTATCCAAGTCCAGAAATCAACTCGCCAGTTCTGTACAGCATTCTGTAGGGAGATCAAATCTGGGATGTCAGAAGTGAAGAATTCAGGCCTTGGTAAGGGATTAGATTAGATGTACTTGAGCTTCTTTTGCAAAAAAAGAGAGGGCGGGGGATAGCGAGAGCCAGAGACCGAGACAGACAGACGGACAGACAGACAGAGAGAGAGAGAGAGAGAGAGAGACAGAGAGACAGAGACAGAGACAGACAGAGAGAGACAACGATACACAGAGAGAGAAAGACAGAAAGAGAGAGAGAGACAGATAAAGAGACAGACGGAGAGAGACAGATAAAGAGACAGACGGAGAAAGACAGAGATGGACAGAGACAGAGAGAAACAGAAAGAGAGAGAAACAGACAGGAAGGGAGAGAGACAGGCAGAGAGAGAGAGACAAACAGACAGGCAGACAGACAGGCAGAGAAAGAGAGTAAGACAGAAGGCAGACACACACACACACACACACACACATACACACACACACACACACCCCCACAGAGAGAGAGAGACAGAGAGAGAGACAGAGACAGACAGAGAGACAGAGAGAAAGAGACAGAGAGAGAAAGACAGACAGAGAGAAACAGACAGAAAGAGAGACACAGACAGAGACAGAGAAACAGCCGACAGGGGGGAGAGAGAGAGAGAGACAGACAGAGAGAGACAGACAGACAGACAGGCAGAGAAAGACAGTAAGACAGAAGACAGACACACAGAGAGAGAGAGAGAGACAGAGACAGAAAGAAAGACAAAGACAGAGAGAGAGAGAGAGAGAGAAACAGACAGGGGGAGAGAGAGAGAGAGACAGACAGACAGGGAGAGAGAGAGAGAGAGACTAAGACAGAAGACAGACACAGTGAGAGAGACAGAGACAGAGAGAAGGAAAGACAAAGACAGACAGACAAAGAGACAGACAGAGAAAGACAGAGACGGACAGAGAGACAGAGAGAAACAGAAAGAGAGAGAGAGACACACAGAGAGAGAGAGTGAGAGAGACAGGCAGGCAGAGAGAGAGAGTAAGACAGAAGACAGAGTGAGAGAGACAGGCAGAGAGAGACAGAGAGAAGGAAAGAGAGAGACAGTCAGAGAAAGACAGAGACGGAGAGAGAGAAACAGAAAGAGAGAGAGAGACAGAGACAGAGAGAAACATACAGACAGGGAGAGAGAGAGAGAGAGACCGACAGACAGACAGAGAAAGGGAGTAAGACAGAAGACAGACACAGTGAGAGAGACAGGCAGAGAGAGAGAGAGAGAGAGAGGCAGAGAGAGAGAAACAGACAGGCAGAGAGAGAGAGACACAGAGAGAGAGAGAGAGAGAAGACAGACAGAGAAAGAGAGAGACAGAGACAGACAGAGAGACAGAGAGAGGGGGAGGAAGGGCGTGCTCAAGAAATAATCACACATATTTTATAATGCTTTTGATCCCATAAACGGTGGCCGGGGTATACTTTGAAAACAACGACAACGACAACAACAACGACAACGACAACAGCAACGACGACAACAACAACAACAACAACAGCAACAAGAGCAGCAGCAGCATTCGCCTACGGATTTCTAGAAAATAAGATGTCATGATGAAGGATAGTAAACATCAACCGGCTCTCACTGCACGTTGAGAGAGTCACAAAAGCGCTAGTTCACAACAGGAAAAAACGGCAGCTAACGTGTCTTGGGGAAAATAGACGTCTTCCTGAAAACTGGGGATTTCTACTTCACCTGAAAAGAAAGACATACGAGAAAGGAAAAACACGAACAAAACAAAACAGAACGAAACAAAACAAGCCAACAAACACGGGCCAAGGCGCCGTCCCTGGAAATCTTAAGTGAGCAAAGTTATTAGTTTTCAGAAAGCGTTTCTATTTTGGGCAAGTACTGAGAAGGCCCAGACTAGAGCCGTGGCGCCCTTCGCATTGTGAAACTCTGCTGGCCGGAGGGCGGAGAAACTAAAACATCGTGATAAAAGGTGACCGAGACCCAGCCAGGGTGAAGCTTTCCTAGGGAGGGAGGCCTGAGGCGGGAAGCAGCGGGGGGAAAAGCCTCACAACTGCAGACCCGCCCGCTTGCCCACGCGGGTCAAGGGGCTATGCCATCGGCCCAAGCTGCCTCCGGGGAAGTGGGACCGTGCCGCCCCCATCTTCAAAAACGGTGGCCCCCGAGTGAGGCCTGACGCCCACCGATGCAAATGTCAGCCTGGCAAGAATGAGATCGCCGGCAAGGGGTGGGGGAAGGGGAGAGAAGACGGAGGCACACCGGGGTGGCTCTGGAAGGTTTCCAAGCAGGGTGTTGGGAGGCGGGGGGGGGGGGGGCGGTTTGGGGGAAACCCACCTAACCGACTCACTAAATTAAGGTGAAGGGACGTGGGTAGTGGGGGGAGCCGGGGGGCAACTTGAAAATTAAACTGACCCTTCCCAAAGCCCAAGTAGAAGAGTCTAGGCGCCAAAACACAAAGAAAAGTAAAGCGCCGATCAAAGAACAATAGGGCCCCCGCCAGGGCGGAGGTTCCCTAGGCGAGGTTCCCTAGGCAACGAGGGAGAGAGGGAGGGGCCTCCAGAAGGGAGAGAGAGAAACCCGTTGCCCCAGGCTCGGTGAAGTCGGCGAGACCTCCCTCCGTGTCACGTCGACTTTCAATAACAGTGGCCGCTAGGTGATGCCCGAAGACAACCGATGCCTGCCTGCAAATGTCCGTCAGCAGGGAAAAGAATTAATGAATTAATTAATTTCCGTATTTATTTAGAGACCGAGTCTCACTCACTCTACAGCCTGGGCCGTAGTGCAGTGGCGCGATCTCGGCTCCCTGCAGCCTCCGCTTCCCTGGTTCAAGCGATTCTCCCGCCTCAGCCTCCCGAGGAGCTGGCATTACAGGGGCCTGCCCCACCGCTCCCGACTCAGCTTTGTATTTTTAGTAGAGACGGGGTTTCGCCGTGTTGCGTCCGGCCTTAACAGTTTATGTTGAAGTCGAGGAGCTTATCGGGGAAATAGGAGAAGTACGGACGCCACACGTGACCGAGAGAAAAGTCTGAAAATGCCCCTCGCATCCAAGCGGGGACCCGGCCTCGACCTCCCGAAATCGTACACCGAGTGGGGAAGCCCAGCAAGGCCCGCCTGTCTAGATTCCTCTCGGCCTCTCTAAGCACCGAAGCACGCGCTTCTCACTCTCGTGGAAGGGGCAGGGCCCTACCCGGCACGGGGGTGTCTGACAGACTGACAGAGAAAGAGACAGACATAGAAAGACAGAGATGGACAGCGAGAGATAGAGAGAAACAGACAGAAAGAGAAAGAGAGAGAGACAGAGACAGAGACAGAGAGAGAGAGACAGACAGACAGACAGGGAGGGAGAAAGACAAACAGAGAGAGAGAGAGAGAGAGAGAGAGACAGACAGACAGACAGACAGACAGAGAAACAGACAGAAAGAGAGAGAGAGACGGAGAGAGAGTGAGTGAGAGGGAGAGAGAGAGACATGGAGGGAGAGAGACAGACAGAGAGAGAAACAGACAGAAAGAGAGAGAGAGACGGAGAGAGAGTGAGTGAGAGAGAGAGAGAGAGACATGGAGGGAGAGAGACAGACAGAGAGAGAAACAGACAGAAAGAGAGAGAGACGGAGAGAGAGTGAGTGAGAGAGAGAGAGAGACATGGAGGGAGAGAGACAGACAGACAGAGAGGCAGGCAGAGAAAGAGAGTAAGACAGAAGACAGACACAGTGAGAGAGACAGGCAGAGAGAGAGAGAGACAGAGACAGAGAGAGAGAAAGAGAAAGAGACAGACAGAGATGGACAGAGAGACAGAGACAGAGAGAGAAACAGACAGACAGGGAGGGAGGGACGGAGACAGGCAGAGAGAGAGAGACAGGCAGACAGCCAGAGAAAGAGAGTAAGACAGAAGATAGGCACAGAAAGAGAGACAGACACAGAGAGAGACAGAGAGACAGAGAAAAAGAAAGAGAGAGACAGACAGACAGAGAAAGAGACAGACAGAGAGAGAGAGAGGCAGAGAGAGAAACAGACAGACAGGAGAGAGAGAGAAACAGAAAGGGAGGGAGAGAGAGGGAGAGACAGACAGACAGACGGACAGGCAGAGAAGGAGAGTAAGACAGAAGACAGACACACACAGTGAGAGAGACAGACAGAGAGAGAGAGAGAGAGAGAGAGAGAGAGAGAGAGAGGCAGAGACAGAGACAGAGAGAAAGAGAGAGACAGACATAGAAAGACAGAGATGGACAGAGAGACAGAGAGAAACACCCAGAAAGAGAGAGAGAGACAGAGAAAGAGAAAGGGAGGGAGAGAGAGAGAGAGAGAGAGAGAGAGAGACAGACACACAGACAGGCAGGCAGGCAAGGAAACAGAGTAAGACAGAAGATAGGAACAGAGAGAGAGAGAGAGAGACAGAGAGACGCAGAAAAAGAAAGAGAGAGGCAGACAGACAGAGAAAGACAGAGACAGACAGAGAGAAACAGGCAGAAAGAGAGAGAGAGAGAGAAAAACAGACAGGAAAGGAGAGAGAGAGAGAGACAGAGAGAGAAAGAGAATAAGACAGAAGACAGACACAGTGAGAGAGGCAGAGAGAGAGAGAGAGAGAGAGAGACAGAGACAGAGACAGAGAGAAAGAGACAGACAGACAGAGAAAGAGACAGACAGAGAAAGACAGAGAGAGAAAGAGAGAAACAGGCAGAGAGAGAGAGAGCTAGCGAGAGAGAAACAGAAAGGTAGGGAGAGAGAGAGAGAGACAGACAGACAGATGGACAGGCAGAGAAGGAGAGTAAGACAGAAGACAGACACAGTGAGAGAGACAAGGAGAGAGAGAGAGAGAGAGACAGAGACAGAGACAGAGACAGACGACAGAAAGAAAGAGAGAGACAGACAGACAGAAAAAGACAGAGACGGACAGAGAGAGACAGAGAAACAGAGAGAAAGAGAGAAAGACAGAGAGAGCGAGAGAGGGAGAGAGAGAGAAACAGAAAGGCAGGGAGAGAGACAGAGAGAGACAGACAGATAGACAGGCAGAGAAAGAGAGTAAGACAGAAGATAGGCACAGAGAGAGAGACAGAGAGACACAGAAAGAGAAAGAGAGAGGCAGACAGACAGAGAAAGGGACAGACAGAGAAAGACAGAGACAGAGAGAGAGAGAGAGAGAGAGAGAGAGAAACAGACAGAAAGAGAGAGGGACAGGGAGAGAGAGAGACAGACAGACAGACGGACAGGCAGAGAAGGAGAGTAAGACAAAAGATACACACAGAGAGGGAGAGACAGAGAGAGAGAGAGACAGAGACAGAGACAGAGAGAATGAAACAGACAGACAGAGAGAGACAGTGAGAAACAGACAGAAAGAGAGGGAGACAGAGAGAAACAGACAGGGAGGGGGGAGAGAGAGAGAGAGAGAGAGAAGCAGAAAGGGAGGGAGAGACAGAGAGAGACAGACAGACAGGCAGAGAAAGAGAGTAAGACAGAAGATAGGCACAGAGAGAGAGAGAGACAGACAGAGAGACACAGAAAAAGAAAGAGAGGGGCAGACAGACAGAGAAAGAGACAGATAGAGAAAGAGAGAGGCAGACAGAGAGAGACAGAAACAGACAGAAAGAGAGAGAGAGAGAAACAGACAGGGAGGGAGTGAGAGAGAGACAGACGGGGAGAGAAAGAGAGTAAGATAGAAGACAGACACAGTGAGACAGGCAGAGAGGGAGAGAGAGGGACAAAGACAGAGACAGAAAGAAAGAAAGAGACAGACAGACAGACAGACAGACAGAGAAAGAGACACAGAGAGAAAGACAGAGACGAACAGAGAGAAACAGACAGAGAGAAGGCCCTAGCCCAGTAGCAATACAGTGCCTTTTCTTTCATTTTCTCTTTCTTTTCTTTTCTTTTTTTCTTTCTTGTATATCTGTATGTATGTATGTATGTATGTATGTATGTATGTATGTATGTGTGTATTTATTTATGTACGTATTTATCTGGAGACCGGGTCTCACTCTGTCGCCCAGGCTGTAGTGCAGTGGTGCGATCTTGGGTCACTGCAGCCTCCGCCTGCCAGGTTCAAGCAATTCTTCCACCCCAGCCTCCCGAGTAGCTGGGGTTACAGGTGCCTGCCCCACGGCGCCTGACTCCATTTCGTATTTTCAGTAGAGACGGGGGTTTCACCACGTTGGCCGGGCTGGTCTCGAACTCCTGACCTCGGGATGACAGACGTGAGCCACTGCGTTCAGTGTACAGTACCATTTCTTAGAAATCACTCCTCACGGGAACACACACTTATGGGTGACGTGTAGAGATTTTAGTTAGTTAGTTAGTTAGTTAGTTATTATGTGCGCGGGGAGGTGGGGGGACGGAGTTTGGCTCTTGCTGCCCAGGCTACAGTGCAATGGCCTAGGGGACTCAAGGAGTCAACCTATGGCAGAGAGGACACGTCATTCTGAGCGTAAGGGCCGCAGCGAAAGGTGGCAGGGCCCGCGCTTTTAAAGGCTGAAATCCCGGCGGCTCAGGCCTGTCGTTTCCAGCACTTTGGGAGGCCCAGGAAGGTGGATCATTTGTGGTCAGGAGTTCGAGACCAGCGTGGCCAACGTGGAGAAACCCCGTCTCTACTAAAAATAGAACGATGAGCCGGCCGTCATGGTGCGCACCTGTAATCCCAGCTACCGAAGAAGAATCACTGGAACCCGGGAAGCAGAGGTTTCAGTGAGCCGAGAGAGCGCCACCGCACCGCAGCCTGGGTGACAGAGCGAGAGAGACTCAGTCCAAAAAAAAAGAAAGAAAAGAAGAAGAAGAAAAAAAGAACGGGCCCAAATACTGCATTGTCGCTGAACGTTCTCCCAAAAGGCCAGAAACCCCCTGACTCAGGTCAAGGAGGTGGTGGTTGGTTTTACTTCTCTTTCTCTCTCTCTCTCTCTCTCTCTCTCTCTCTCTCTCTCTCTCTCTCTCCCCCCCCCTCTCCCCCCTCTCTCCCCGTCTCTCTCTCTCTCTCCTCTCTTCTCCCCCCCGAACTTTTATTTGTCGTTCAAGCATACATGAGCAAGACTGTGACATAGGTAAACTTGTGACGGGGGTGTTCAGTGTGCAGATGATTTCATCACCCGGGTAGTCAGTGCTGTGTCCGACAGTATTCGTGTTTTGTTTTCTTCCTGAAGCTGTCTCTCCTTCCACCCCTCCTCCCTCAAGCAGGCTTCCGCGTCCCCGGTCCCCCTCGTTCTGCCCATGCAAGAACTGTCATCTGTAAGTTCCCACTTCTAGATGAGAACACGCGGTATTTAGCCGATCTTTGCTTTCATCTTCGGTGGTGGCGGTGAAAGAGGCATGACACTAAATCGACCCTTAGGACGCCGTTTATGTTGAAGTCGAGGAGCTTATCGGGGAAATAGGAGAAGTACGGACGCCACACGTGACCGAGAGAAAAGTCTGAAAATGCCCCTCGCATCCAAGCGGGGACCCGGCCTCGACCTCCCGAAATCATACACCGAGTGGGGAAGCCCAGCAAGGCCCGCCTGTCTAGATTCCTCTCGGCCTCTCTAAGCACCGAAGCACGCGCTTCTCACTTTCGTGGAAGGGGCAGGGCCCTACCCGGCACGGGGGTGTCTGACAGACTGACAGAGAAAGAGACAGACATAGAAAGACAGAGATGGACAGCGAGAGATAGAGAGAAACAGACAGACAGGGAGAGAGAGAGAGAGAGAGAGAGAGAGAGAAACAGACAGGGAGGGAGAAAGACAAATAGAGAGAGAGACAGACAGACACACAGAAAGACAGAGACAGAGAGAAACAGACAGAAAGAGAGAGAGACGGAGAGACAGTGAGTGAGAGAGAGAGAGAGAGAGACATGGAGGGAGAGAGACAGACAGACAGACAGAGAGGCAGGCAGAGAAAGAGAGTAAGACAGAAGACCGACACAGTGAGAGAGAAAGGCAGAGAGAGAGAGAGAGAGAGAGAGAGAGAGAGAGAGAGAGAGAGACAGAGAGAGACAGAGAGAGACAGAGAGAAAGAAAGAGAGAGAAAGAGAAAGAGACAGACAGAAATGGACAGAGAGAGAAACAGACAGACAGGGAGGGAGGGACGGAGACAGGCAGAGAGAGAGAGAGAGAGAGAGAGAGAGAGAGACAGGCAGTCAGCCAGAGAAAGAGAGTAAGACAGAAGATAGGCACAGACAGAGAGACAGGCACAGAGAGAGACAGAGAGACAGAGAAAAAGAAAGAGAGAGACAGACAGACAGAGAAAGAGACAGACAGAGAGAGAAAGAGAGAAACAGACAGAAAGAGAGAGAGAGAGAGAGAGAAACAGAAAGGGAGGGAGAGAGAGGGAGAGACAGACAGACAGACGGACAGGCAGAGAAGGAGAGTAAGACAGAAGACAGACACACACAGTGAGAGAGACAGACAGAGAGAGAGAGAGAGAGAGAGGCAGAGACAGAGACACACACACAGTCCTGAAAGACGACGAGAGAGAGAGAGAGAGGCCGAGACCGAGACCGGGAGAAAGAGAGAGACCGACCGAGAAAGACCGAGATGGACCGAGAGACCGAGAGAAACCGATAGAAAGAGAGAGACCGAGAGAGAGAGAGGCAGAGGCAGAGACAGAGACCGGGAGAAAGAGAGAGACGGACAGAGAAAGACCGAGATGGACAGAGAGACAGAGAGAAACAGACAGAAAGAGAGAGAGACAGAGAGAGAGAGAGACAGACAGACAGACAGGCAGGCAGAGAAACAGAGTAAGACAGAAGATAGGCACAGAGAGAGAGAGACAGAGAGACGCAGAAAAAGAAAGAGAGAGGCAGACAGAGAAAGACGGAGACAGGCAGAGAGAAACAGACAGAAAGAGAGAGAGAGAGAGAAAGAGACAGGAAGGGAGAGAGAGAGACAGACAGACAGAGAAAGAGAATAAGACAGAAGACAGACACAGTGAGACAGGCAGAGAGAGAGAGACAGAGAGAGAGAGACAGAGACGGAGACAGAGAGAAGGAGACAGACAGACAGAGAAAGAGACAGACAGAGAAAGACAGAGACAGACAGAGAGAGAAAGAGAAACAGGCAGAGAGAGAGAGAGAGAGAGAGAGAGAGAGCGAGAGAGAAACAGAAAGGGAGGGAGAGAGAGAGAGACAGACAGACAGACGGACAGGCAGAGAAGGAGAGTAAGACAGAGGACAGACACAGTGAGAGAGACAAGCAGAGAGAGAGAGAGAGACAGAGACAGAGACAGACAGAAAGAAAGAGAGAGACAGACAGAAAAAGACAGAGACGGACAGAGAGAGACAGAGAAACAGAGAGAAAGAGAGAAAGACAGAGAGAGCGAGAGAGGGAGAGAGAGAGACAGTGAGAAACAGACAGAAAGAGAGAGAGACGGAGAGAAACAGACAGGGAGAGGGGGAGAGAGAGAGAGAGAGAGAGAGAAACAGAAAGGGAGGGAGAGACAGACAGACAGGCAGAGAAAGAGAGTAAGACAGAAGATAGGCACAGAGAGAGAGAGAGAGAGACAGACAGACAGACAGAGAGAGAGAGACCGACAGAGAGACACAGAAAAAGAAAGAGAGAGGCAGACAGACAGAGAAAGAGACAGACAGAGAAAGACATAGACAGACAGAGAGAGACAGAAACAGACAGAAAGAGAGAGAGAGAAACAGACAGGGAGGGAGAGAGAGAAACAAACAGGGAGGGAGAGAGAGAGAGAGAGACAGACGGGGAGAGAAAGAGAGTAAGACAGAAGACAGACACAGTGAGACAGGCAGAGAGGGAGAGAGAGAGACAAAGACAGAGACAGAGACAGAGAGAAAGAAAGAGACAGACAGACAGAGAAAGAGACACAGAGAGAAAGACAGAGACGAACAGAGAGAAACAGACAGAGAGAAGGCCCTAGCCCAGTAGCAATACAGTGCCTTTTCTTTCATTTTCTCTTTCTTTTCTTTTCTTTTTTTCTTTCTTGTATATCTGTATGCATGGATGTATGTATGTATGTATGTATGTATGTATGTATGTATGTATGTGTGTATTTATTTATGTACGTATTTATCTGGAGACCGGGTCTCACTCTGTCGCCCAGGCTGTAGTGCAGTGGTGCGATCTTGGGTCACTGCAGCCTCCGCCTGCCAGGTTCAAGCAATTCTTCCACCCCAGCCTCCCGAGTAGCTGGGGTTACAGGTGCCTGCCCCACGGCGCCTGACTCCATTTCGTATTTTCAGTAGAGACGGGGGTTTCACCACGTTGGCCGGGCTGGTCTCGAACTCCTGACCTCGGGATGACAGACGTGAGCCACTGCGTTCAGTGTACAGTGCCATTTCTTAGAAATCACTCCTCACGGGAACACACACTTAGAGGTGACGTGTAGAGATTTTATTTATTTAGTTAGTTTAGTTAGTTAGTTAGTTTGTTAGTTAGTTATTATGTGCGCGGGGAGGTGGGGGGACGGAGTTTGGCTCTTGCTGCCCAGGCTACAGTGCAATGGCCTAGGGGACTCAAGGAGTCAACCTACGGCAGAGAGGACACGTCATTCTGAGCGTAAGGGCCACAGCGAAAGGTGGCAGGGCCCGCGCTTTTAAAGGCTGAAATCCCGGCGGCTCAGGCCTGTCGTTTCCAGCACTTTGGGAGGCCCAGGAAGGCGGATCATTTGAGGTCAGGAGTTCGAGACCAGCGTGGCCAACGTGGAGAAACCCCGTCTCTACTGAAAATAGGAATATGAGCCGGCCGTCATGGTGTGCGCCTGTAATCCCAGCTACCGAAGAAGAATCACTGGAACCCGGGAAGCAGAGGTTTCAGTGAGCCGAGAGAGCGCCACCGCACCGCAGCCTGGGTGACAGAGCGAGAGAGACTCAGTCCAAAAAAAAAGAAAGAAAAGAAGAAGAAAAAAAAAGAACGGGCCCAAATACTGCATTGTCGCTGAACGTTCTCCCAAAAGGCCAGAAACCCCCTGACTCAGGTCAAGGAGGTGGTGTTTCGTTTTCTCTCTCCCTCCTCTCTCTCTCTCTCTGTCTCTCTCTGTCTCTCTCTCTCTCTCTCTCTCCTCTCTTCTCCCCCCTAACTTTTATTTGTCGTTCAAGCATACATGTGCAAGACTGTGACATAGGTAAACTTGTGACGGGGGTGTTCAGTGTGCAGATGATTTCATCACCCGGGTAGTCAGTGCTGTGTCCGACAGTATTCGTGTTTTGTTTTCTTCCTGAAGCTGTCTCTCCTTCCACCCCTCCTCCCTCAAGCAGGCTTCCGCGTCCCCGGTCCCCCTCGTTCTGCCCATGCAAGAACTGTCATCTGTAAGTTCCCACTTCTAGATGAGAACACGCGGTATTTAGCCGATCCTTGCTGTCATCTTCGGTGGTGGTGGTGGTGGTGAAAGAGGCATGACACTAAATCGACCCTTAGGACGCTCCCCTCCGTCCCCACCCCGCACCCCCTCCCCACACACACCCTCATTCCCGCACCCCCTCCTCAAACGCAAGAAAGGAAGAAATGAAAGTAAGAGGTGAGCCTGCAAGGCGGTGGAGGCGGGGGATCTCAGAGGGCGAGCAAGCGATGGCGGTCGGGGGATGTGTCGGCTGAGGTATCAAAAATAGGGGACCCAGTTTTCAGCCCCAACACACCCCCTAATCCTCAGCCGCAGCCAGCCTCTGGGTGGGGTTGCGCCTGTCAAAGCTTCCGAATGGAGAGAAGCCCAAGGCTACGGAAGGCATCAGCTCCAACTCCAGGAAGGGAATAAGGCTCTGTGCATACGAATGGGGCTTTGAAAGGCGTTGCCGCGGCTTCCAAAGCGATGCGCTGTGCCTCGCCTCGCCTCGCCCCGCCCAGAGCGAGACTCCGTCTGAAAATAAGTACACAAATAAATCATAAGATAATTCATCAAGAAAGAAAGAAAGAAAGAAAGAAAGAAAGAAAGAAAGAAAGAAAGAAAGAAAGAAAGAAAGGATCAGTAGAGCGATGGTGGTCGTGAGTCATTCCCCGGAGTCCAGGCGCAGTGGCTCACGCCCGTCACGCCAGCACTTTGAGACGCCGGGCAGGAGGGTTGCAAAGAAATGATGAGACCCCGTCTGTGGGAAAACATTTAAAAATGAAGGCCGGGCGCGGTGGCTCACGCCTGTCATCCCAGCACTTCCGGAGGCCGGGGAGGGCGGATCACCTGAGGTCGGGAGTTCGAAACCAGCCCGATCGACATGGAGAAGCCCCGTCTCCACTAAAAATACGAAATCAGCCAGACGTGGCAGCGCATGCCCGCAATCCCGGCTACTCAGGAGGCCGATGCAGGAGAATCGCTTGAAACCGGGAGGCAGAGGTTGCGGTGAGCCAAGATCGCGCCACCGCACTGCAGTCTAGGCCACGAGAGTGAAACTCTGTCTCGGGGGAAAAAAAAACAATTAAAAACGGTGTGGGCACAGTGGCGCGTGCCCGCGGTCCCAGGCTCTGTACTCTGGAGGCTGAGGTGGAAGGATCGCTCGAGTCCAGGAGCGTCCACGCTGCAGGGAGTGAGTTACGACGGCACCACTGCCGGGGTGACGGAGCGAGATGCCGTCTCTAAATCAGTCAATGAGATCACTGGAAGGCGCTCTCTGCGTCTCACTTTCCAAGAGGGTCTCTTTGGGCCAAGCAGGCATGGTGCCTCCCGCCAGTCATCCCAGCACTTTGGGAGGCTGAGGCGGGAGGAAAGAAGGAAGGGAGGAAGGGAGGAAAGAAGAAAAGAAGAAAGGCAGGAAGGCAGGAAAGAAAGAGGGGAAGAGAGAAAAAGAAAAAGAAAGAAAGAAAGAAAGAAAGAAAGAAAGAAAGAAAGAAAAGAGAAGCAAAAAGAAGAAAAGAGAAGGGAAGAAAAGAAAAGCAAACGGGGAAGGGGCATATCTCCTTGACCGGTGACTGCCCAGGATACAGTGGGTCACGGCCGACCGAAGCCTCGACCTGTGGGGCCTCAAGTGATCTTCTCCTCGTCTCAGCCTCCCGAGTAGCCGCGACTACAGGCGGCCATCACCGCGCACAACTCATCTTATAATAACATCATGATTCTCTCGACACGGGGTCTCGCTCCGTCATCCAGGCCGCATCGCCACGGCACGATCTCAGCTCATCGCAACCTCGGCCTCCCCGGTTGGAACAAGTCGCCCGCCCCAGTCTCCCGAGCGGTCGTGATTCCAAGCCCACGCCACCAGGCCCGGCTAATCGTTCTATTTTTCAGAGAGACGGGGTTTCGCCACGTCGGCCAGCCTGGTCTCGAACTCCCGGCCCCAAGCGATCCACCCGCCTCGGCCTCCCAAAGTGCCGGAGTGACAGGCGTGAGCTAGCGTGCCCGGCCCAGATCATCTTTTTCATCAATTGTAGAGAAGGGGTTTCGTCAGCCAACGGGTGGAGGGTGGGGCGGGTTTTACTCAGCCTGCGTACTGTGAAAAGGGGAAGTGAGTGTGCTCTGTGAACTAGATATGGAAATTGTGTGTGTGTGTGCGCGCGTGCGCGTGCGAGAGAGAGAGAGAGAGAGAGAGAGAGAGAGAGAGAGAGAGAGACCAATCCCACCACGAGGACCCGGAAATAGTGTTTGATCTGTGTCCCTGCCTAGTCACCTGTCTTGTGTGTCGATGACTGAGGATTCCACAAATGAAGGTCAGCGGTATCTATTGAGCTGTTTCTCCCTCTCGTGCGTCTCATCTGTGTGCTGGAGAAAGGGAAGAGAAGAGGTTCCGATGGGAAGTTGTCTTCACGCCTGAGGCAGCTGAAGGCAGACCGAAGGGAAGGAGGGCATCCTAGGTGACATTTCCATACCCACGCACCCTTTACAATGCTGGGGCTGCCAGTCCACCCTGTACGTCAACCCACCCCCAAGAACAGCACGGTCCGGGGTGGTCCAGTCTGATCCCAACCGGCCCACCCGGGGCATCCGGTGGAAGTCTTCGCCGGAGGATCCGAAGGCAGCATCAACGCGGTTCCCCTGGGGTCGCCCGGCAAAGGCCAGCCGGGGGAGGGTAGCGGGACGTGACGGGGGGGTGGGGGTCGCATCCGCCTCAGAGCTCCCTGGAAGGTGGCAGGTAGCCGGTGGGGCACGCCGAGCCAGAGACGTCCGGCAGGATATAGATCTGGAAGGCGTGTCAGTCCTCTCCCATACCTCTCCTATGGAAAATGCCAGGGCGGCGGTGGGAGCCTCGGCTGGGGGAGAAGCGGGGACAAGGGGGAGAGGGAAGGAGGCCCTCGGGAGGTTTCGGCACCGAAAACCCACTCAGCCAAGCTCCCTCCGTGTTTCCGGGTCCAAGGTACACCCCGGGAGACGGCAAGAGAAACGTTCACACCGTGCTTTCCGTCTTCGTGTTTATTTCTTTCATCTTTTCCATTTTACGAGAGATGCTCATTTCAACAACCAGACGGCGGATGTGACGGGAGAAGCGTCAAGGCCAGGAGTTTGAGACCAGCGTGAGCAACAGAGCAACACACGTAGGAGAGCCCAGCTGAAAGAAATGAAAGAGGAGGAGGAGGAGGAGGAGGAGGAGGAGGAGGAGGAGGAGGAGGAGGACGACGACAAGGGGGGGTGGGGGGGGAGGAGAAGGAAAGAAAAGAAAAGAAAAAAAAGAAAAAGGAAAACAACCACCACCAAGAAAGTTAAGATTCTCCAACGGTCGGAAGTTGAAGACCAGCCTGACCAAGATGGAGAAACCCCATCTGTAGTAAAAATAGAAAAATTAGCCGGGCACGATGGCTCATCTCTGTCATTCCAGCTACTCGGGAAGGCTGAGGCAGGAGAATCACTTGAACCTGGGAGGCGGAGGGTGCGGTGAGCCGAGAGCCGCCATCGTACTCCACCCTGGGCGACAAGAGTGAAACTCCGTCTAAAGAGAATAAAAAGAAAGAACGAAAAGGCGGATCGGTGAGATGCGTCTGGAAATTTTCTTCGTTCGCAGTCCCCGTATTAAAAACGGAAAGAACCGACCCACGACAAACACGACCAGAGCGTACCGTGCCCACGCGTGTCATCACAGCACTCCGGGAGGCCGATGCGGGAGGATCTCTGGAGCCTAAAAGTTCGAGATCACCTCGACACGTGAGATGACGCCTACAATAATAATAATCATAGAAGTTTGAAAAGAGACCACGTGTGCCCAGAGCATGGACAATAAAGCGAGAGCACATCCGTACTAAAAAGAAGACGATTGATAGGCAGGCAGGCAGGCAGGCAGGCAGGCAGGCAGGCAGGCAGGCAGGCAGGCAGGCAAATGTAGAAGGAGCCAGGCGCAGCGTCTCACGCCTGTAATAGCAGCAGTGTGGGCGGCCGAGGCAGGCAGGCGGATTGCTTGAGGACAGGAGTTCGAGACCAGCGTGGGCAACATGATAGAACCCCGAAACCCATCTCACTCACATACATACATACATACGTACATACATAGATACACACACACACACACACACACACACACACACACACACACACACACACACACATACCTACCTACGGAAAACATGAGAAACAACATAAAAGTCAGCCGGTGTGGTGGTGCGCGCCTGTAGTCTCAGGTAATGGGGATGGGAGGGATCAGAGGCAGAACGACCGTTTGGTCGGTCCAAAGCGTTGAGGTTGGGGTGATCCTGGGCGGCAGAGACAGAGGAAGACCCTGCCAGTAAGGGAGGGAAGGAAGGAAGGAAGGAGGGAAGGAAGGAAGGAAGGAAGGAAGGAAGGAAGGAAGGAAATAAACAGGCAAGCAGGCAAGCAAACGATGAACGTGACAATGACACAGAAGAACCCATGAGAATAAACGAGCAAATAACAGGGTATGAATGAAGCTAAAAGGCAATTGAGATCGCAATCAATCGTTTTCTCTGCACCCCACCCCACCGCAGCCCACGTAAGCTGGAGTGGAAGTGTGCGATCACAGCCCACGTTAACCTCTCCCTCCCGGGCTTAAGAGATCCCTGTAGTCCCAGCTATTTGGGAGGCTGAGGTCACCAGAGCGCAGAGACAGAAGACCAGGCGGGCCGGCCCCAAAAGAAAAGAAAATAAATAAACGAAAATTATTAATAAATAATGAATGAAGGAAGGGAGGAAGGATATACATACACGTGTATGTAAATGAAATGGGGCTTCGATACATATTCATCCATTAAAAGTAACATAATATAAACGTATTAATTATGGAAATATCATTTACATAGTTTTATCACTACGGGGGGTGTGTGTGTGTGTGTGTGTGTGTGTGTGTGTGTGTGTGTGTGTGTGTGTGTGTGTATGTGTAGATGTATGTTCATACACGGCAGCGTTCAGAAAATAAGATTGAAAAAAGGAAGGAATCGGCCGGGCATGGTGGCTCACATCTGTACTCCCAGCAGTCTTTGGGAGGCCGAGGCGGGCGGATCACTAGGTCGGGAGTTCGAGACCAGCCCGGCCAAAATGGTGAAATTACGTCTTTACTCGAAATAGAAAACTTGCTGTTTGCTTGAACCGTGGAGGCAGAGGCAGCAGCAGCAGCGAGCCGAGAAGGCACCAAGGAGGGAGGGAGGGGAGAGAGACAGAGAGAGAGAGAGAGAGAGAGAAAGAAAGAAAGAAAGAAAGAAAGAAAGAAAAGAAAGAAAGAAAGAAAGAAAGAAAGAAAGAAAGAAAACGCAAGGCAAAACCAAAAAGCAAAAAAGGAGGAAGCATTACTGGCTGACGGCAGCAGTGACTCCCTCTTAAAAGTCCCGCGGACGCAAACTCGCAGTGGGGCTGAAAAAAATGTAGAAGAGGGAGTTCCGCGTGGTCCCAGCTCCACCGCGGGCCGAGGCCGGTGGAGGTCGCCGGCGCGTGAACCGGAATCGACGCCCTCGCGTCGGTGCGCCGCAGCGTCCGGCGGCCGCCTGCTGGTCGACCCGGGACACGTGCAGACGCCAGCTAAGTCCGGAGCTCGCGGGCGGCAGCTGGTCGACCCCGGAGGTGCCGACCGAGACGGGGACGCGGCGGGTCCGGCTCGTCCCGACGGGCACTCTTACACGCCGCTCGGTGGAGAAGGCCCGCCGGTCGACCCGGGACACGGCGAGACAGCGGCTAAGTGTCAAGAGCCGAGAAGGCACCAAGGAAGGGGAGAGAGGGAGGGAGGGGGAGGGAGAGAGAGAGAGAGAGAGAGAGAGAGAGAGAGAGAGAGAGAGAGAGAGAGAGACAGAGAGAGACAGAGAGAAAGAGAGAGAGAGAGAGGGCGAGAGCGAGAGACAGAGAGAGAGAGAGAGAGAGAGAGAGAAAGAGAAAGAGAAAGAAAACGAGCGAGGGAGAGAGCGAGAGAGCGAGAGCGAGAAAGAAAGAAAGAAAGAAAGAAAGAAAGAAAGAAAGAAAGAAAGAAAGAAAAAAAAAAAAAAAAAAAAAAGGCAAGACAAAACCTAAAAGCAAAAAAGGAGGAAGCATTACTGGCTGACGGCAGCAGTGACTCCCTCTTAAAAGTCCCGCGGACGCAAACTCGCGGTGGGGCTGAAAAAAATGTAGAAGAGGGAGTTCCGCGTGGTCCCAGCTCCACCGCGGGCCGAGGCCGGTGGAGGTCGCCGGCGCGTGAACCGGAATCGACGCCCTCGCGTCGGTGCGCCGCAGCGTCCGGCGGCCGCCTGCTGGTCGACCCGGGACACGTGCAGACGCCAGCTAAGTCCGGAGCTCGCGGGCGGCAGCTGGTCGACCCCGGAGGTGCCGACCGAGACGGGGACGCGGCGGGTCCGGCTCGTCCCGACGGGCACTCTTACACGCCGCTCGGTGGAGAAGGCCCGCCGGTCGACCCGGGACACGGCGAGACAGCGGCTAAGTGTCAAGAGCCGAGAAGGCACCAAGGAAGGGGAGAGAGGGAGGGAGGGGGAGGGAGAGAGAGAGAGAGAGAGAGAGAGAGAGAGAGAGAGAGAGAGAGAGAGAGAGACAGAGAGAGACAGAGAGAAAGAGAGAGAGAGAGAGGGCGAGAGCGAGAGACAGAGAGAGAGAGAGAGAGAGAGAGAGAAAGAGAAAGAGAAAGAAAACGAGAGAGGGAGAGAGCGAGAGAGCGAGAGCGGCAAAGAAAGAAAGAAAGAAAGAAAGAAAGAAAGAAAGAAAGAAAGAAAGAAGAAAAAAAAAAAAAAAAAAAGGCAAGACAAAACCTAAAAGCAAAAAAGGAGGAAGCATTACTGGCTGACGGCAGCAGTGACTCCCTCTTAAAAGTCCCGCGGACGCAAACTCGCGGTGGGGCTGAAAAAAATGTAGGAGAGGGAGTTCCGCGTGGTCCCAGCTCCACGGCGGGCCGAGGCCGGTGGAGGTCGCGGGCGCGTGAACGGGAATCAGCGCCCTCGCGTCGGTGCGCCGCAGCGTCCGGCGGCCGCCTGCTGGTCGACCCGGGACACGTGCAGACGCCGGCTAAGTCCGGAGCTCGCGGGCGGCAGCTGGTCGACCCCGGAGGTGCCGACCGAGACGGGGACGCGGCGGGTCCGGCTCGTCCCGACGGGCACTCTTACACGCCGCTCGGTGGAGAAGGCCCGCCGGTCGACCCGGGGCACGGCGAGACAGCGGCTAAGTCTCAAGAGCCGAGAAGGCACCAAGGAAGGGGAGGGAGGGAGGGAGGGAGGGAGGGAGGGAGGGAGGGAGGGAGGGAGAGAGACAGACACACACAGAGACAGAGAGAGAGCGAGAGGGCGTCGCCGCCCGCCGCCCACCACCCGCGGTCTGCTGGTCGACCCGTGCGGAGGAGCGAGGAGGAAGGACGCGCGAGGGCCGGGACCCCGGGTGGCCGCCCCACCGGGGCCCGCGCGGCCAACCCCCGGGACGGGGACCGGCGGGCCACGGGCCCGGCTCGGCGCGGCCGCCTCCGCGGCTCCCAAACCACGCTCCCCGGACCCCGTCCCGGCCCGGAGCGGACGAGCCGCCCCGGCGGTGAACGGGGAGGAGGCGGGAACCGAAGAAGCGGGGCGCGCCGACCGGGGTCGCGCGCCCTCCCCCCCACACCCCCACCACCACGCCCGCGGTCGGCGGGAGAGGCCGGGAGGGAGGAAGACGAACGGAAGGACGGACGGCGCCGGACGCGCACGCCCCGCCGGGCCCCCCGCACGCGCGCGCGCGCGCGCGCGCGGACAAACCCTTGTGTCGAGGGCTGACTTTCAATAGATCGCAGCGAGGGAGCTGCTCTGCTACGTACGAAACCCCGACCCAGAAGCAGGTCGTCTACGAATGGTTTAGCGCCAGGTTCCCCACGAACGTGCGGTGCGTGACGGGCGAGGGGGCGGCCGCCTCTCCGGCCGCGCCCCGTTTCCCAGGACGAAGGGCACTCCGCACCGGACCCCGGTCCCGGCGCGCGGCGGGGCACGCGCCCTCCCGCGCGCGCGGGGCGCGTGGAGGGGGGGGGCGGCCCGCCGGCGGGGACAGGCGGGGGACCGGCTATCCGAGGCCAACCGAGGCTCCGCGGCGCTGCCGTATCGTTCCGCCTGGGCGGGATTCTGACTTAGAGGCGTTCAGTCATAATCCCACAGATGGTAGCTTCGCCCCATTGGCTCCTCAGCCAAGCACATACACCAAATGTCTGAACCTGCGGTTCCTCTCGTACTGAGCAGGATTACCATGGCAACAACACATCATCAGTAGGGTAAAACTAACCTGTCTCACGACGGTCTAAACCCAGCTCACGTTCCCTATTAGTGGGTGAACAATCCAACGCTTGGTGAATTCTGCTTCACAATGATAGGAAGAGCCGACATCGAAGGATCAAAAAGCGACGTCGCTATGAACGCTTGGCCGCCACAAGCCAGTTATCCCTGTGGTAACTTTTCTGACACCTCCTGCTTAAAACCCAAAAGGTCAGAAGGATCGTGAGGCCCCGCTTTCACGGTCTGTATTCGTACTGAAAATCAAGATCAAGCGAGCTTTTGCCCTTCTGCTCCACGGGAGGTTTCTGTCCTCCCTGAGCTCGCCTTAGGACACCTGCGTTACCGTTTGACAGGTGTACCGCCCCAGTCAAACTCCCCACCTGGCACTGTCCCCGGAGCGGGTCGCGCCCGGCCGGCGCGCGGCCGGGCGCTTGGCGCCAGAAGCGAGAGCCCCTCGGGGCTCGCCCCCCCGCCTCACCGGGTCAGTGAAAAAACGATCAGAGTAGTGGTATTTCACCGGCGGCCCGCAGGGCCGGCGGACCCCGCCCCGGGCCCCTCGCGGGGACACCGGGGGGGCGCCGGGGGCCTCCCACTTATTCTACACCTCTCATGTCTCTTCACCGTGCCAGACTAGAGTCAAGCTCAACAGGGTCTTCTTTCCCCGCTGATTCCGCCAAGCCCGTTCCCTTGGCTGTGGTTTCGCTGGATAGTAGGTAGGGACAGTGGGAATCTCGTTCATCCATTCATGCGCGTCACTAATTAGATGACGAGGCATTTGGCTACCTTAAGAGAGTCATAGTTACTCCCGCCGTTTACCCGCGCTTCATTGAATTTCTTCACTTTGACATTCAGAGCACTGGGCAGAAATCACATCGCGTCAACACCCGCCGCGGGCCTTCGCGATGCTTTGTTTTAATTAAACAGTCGGATTCCCCTGGTCCGCACCAGTTCTAAGTCGGCTGCTAGGCGCCGGCCGAGGCGAGGCGCCGCGCGGAACCGCGGCCCCGGGGGCGGACCCGGCGGGGGGGACCGGCCCGCGGCCCCTCCGCCGCCTGCCGCCGCCGCCGCCGCGCGCCGAGGAGGAGGGGGGAACGGGGGGCGGACGGGGCCGGGGGGGTAGGGCGGGGGGACGAACCGCCCCGCCCCGCCGCCCGCCGACCGCCGCCGCCCGACCGCTCCCCGCCCCCAGCGGACGCGCGCGCGACGAGACGTGGGGTGGGGGGGGGGGCGCGCCGGCGCCCGCCGGGCTCCCCGGGGGCGGCCGCGACGCCCGCCGCAGCTGGGGCGATCCACGGGAAGGGCCCGGCTCGCGTCCAGAGTCGCCGCCGCCGCCGGCCCCCCGGGTGCCCGGGCCCCCCTCGCGGGGGACCGTGCCCCCGCCGCCGGGGCCCCGCGGCGGGCCGCCGCCGGCCCCTGCCGCCCCGACCCTTCTCCCCCCGCCGCCGCCCCCACGCGGCGCTCCCCCGGGGAGGGGGGAGGACGGGGAGCGGGGGAGAGAGAGAGAGAGAGGGCGCGGGGCGGGGAGGGAGCGAGCGGCGCGCGCGGGGTGGGGCGGGGGAGGGCCGCGAGGGGGGTGCCCCGGGCGTGGGGGGGGCGGCGGCGCCTCGTCCAGCCGCGGCGCGCGCCCAGCCCCGCTTCGCGCCCCAGCCCGACCGACCCAGCCCTTAGAGCCAATCCTTATCCCGAAGTTACGGATCCGGCTTGCCGACTTCCCTTACCTACATTGTTCCAACATGCCAGAGGCTGTTCACCTTGGAGACCTGCTGCGGATATGGGTACGGCCCGGCGCGAGATTTACACCCTCTCCCCCGGATTTTCAAGGGCCAGCGAGAGCTCACCGGACGCCGCCGGAACCGCGACGCTTTCCAAGGCACGGGCCCCTCTCTCGGGGCGAACCCATTCCAGGGCGCCCTGCCCTTCACAAAGAAAAGAGAACTCTCCCCGGGGCTCCCGCCGGCTTCTCCGGGATCGGTCGCGTTACCGCACTGGACGCCTCGCGGCGCCCATCTCCGCCACTCCGGATTCGGGGATCTGAACCCGACTCCCTTTCGATCGGCCGAGGGCAACGGAGGCCATCGCCCGTCCCTTCGGAACGGCGCTCGCCCATCTCTCAGGACCGACTGACCCATGTTCAACTGCTGTTCACATGGAACCCTTCTCCACTTCGGCCTTCAAAGTTCTCGTTTGAATATTTGCTACTACCACCAAGATCTGCACCTGCGGCGGCTCCACCCGGGCCCGCGCCCTAGGCTTCAAGGCTCACCGCAGCGGCCCTCCTACTCGTCGCGGCGTAGCGTCCGCGGGGCTCCGGGGGCGGGGAGCGGGGCGTGGGCGGGAGGAGGGGAGGAGGCGTGGGGGGGGGGCGGGGGAGGACCCCACACACCCCCGCCGCCGCCGCCGCCCTCCGACGCACACCACACGCGCGCGCGCGCGCGCCGCCCCCGCCGCTCCCGTCCACTCTCGACTGCCGGCGACGGCCGGGTATGGGCCCGACGCTCCAGCGCCATCCATTTTCAGGGCTAGTTGATTCGGCAGGTGAGTTGTTACACACTCCTTAGCGGATTCCGACTTCCATGGCCACCGTCCTGCTGTCTATATCAACCAACACCTTTTCTGGGGTCTGATGAGCGTCGGCATCGGGCGCCTTAACCCGGCGTTCGGTTCATCCCGCAGCGCCAGTTCTGCTTACCAAAAGTGGCCCACTAGGCACTCGCATTCCACGCCCGGCTCCACGCCAGCGAGCCGGGCTTCTTACCCATTTAAAGTTTGAGAATAGGTTGAGATCGTTTCGGCCCCAAGACCTCTAATCATTCGCTTTACCGGATAAAACTGCGTGGCGGGGGTGCGTCGGGTCTGCGAGAGCGCCAGCTATCCTGAGGGAAACTTCGGAGGGAACCAGCTACTAGATGGTTCGATTAGTCTTTCGCCCCTATACCCAGGTCGGACGACCGATTTGCACGTCAGGACCGCTACGGACCTCCACCAGAGTTTCCTCTGGCTTCGCCCTGCCCAGGCATAGTTCACCATCTTTCGGGTCCTAACACGTGCGCTCGTGCTCCACCTCCCCGGCGCGGCGGGCGAGACGGGCCGGTGGTGCGCCCTCGGCGGACTGGAGAGGCCTCGGGATCCCACCTCGGCCGGCGAGCGCGCCGGCCTTCACCTTCATTGCGCCACGGCGGCTTTCGTGCGAGCCCCCGACTCGCGCACGTGTTAGACTCCTTGGTCCGTGTTTCAAGACGGGTCGGGTGGGTAGCCGACGTCGCCGCCGACCCCGTGCGCTCGCTCCGCCGTCCCCCTCTTCGGGGGACGCGCGCGTGGCCCCGAGAGAACCTCCCCCCGGGCCCGACGGCGCGACCCGCCCGGGGCGCACTGGGGACAGTCCGCCCCGCCCCCCGACCCGCGCGCGGCACCCCCCCCGTCGCCGGGGCGGGGGCGCGGGGAGGATGGGTGGGACAGTCTTCTCGCCGTGGGAGGGGTGGCCCGGTCCCCCCACAAGGAGACGCCGGCGCGCCCCCGCGGGGGAGACCCCCCTCGCGGGGGATTCCCCGCGGGGGTGGGCGCCGGGAGGGGGGAGAGCGCGGCGACGGGTCTCGCTCCCTCGGCCCCGGGATTCGGCGAGTGCTGCTGCCGGGGGGGCTGTAACACTCGGGGGGGGTTTCGGTCCCGCCGCCGCCGCCGCCGCCGCCACCGCCGCCGCCGCCCCGACCCGCGCGCCCTCCCGAGGGAGGACGCGGGGCCGGGGCGGAGACGGGGAGGAGGAGGACGGACGGACGGACGGACGGGGCCCCCCGAGCCACCTTCCCCGCCGGCCTTCCCAGCCGTCCCGGAGCCGGTCGCGGCGCACCGCCGCGGTGGAAATGCGCCCGGCGGCGGCCGGTCGCCGGTCGGGGGACGGTCCCCCGCCGACCCCACCCCCGGCCCCGCCCGCCCACCCCCGCACCCGCCGGAGCCCGCCCCCTCCGGGGAGGAGGAGGAGGGGCGGCGGGGGAAGGGAGGGCGGGTGGAGGGGTCGGGAGGAACGGGGGGCGGGAAAGATCCGCCGGGCCGCCGACACGGCCGGACCCGCCGCCGGGTTGAATCCTCCGGGCGGACTGCGCGGACCCCACCCGTTTACCTCTTAACGGTTTCACGCCCTCTTGAACTCTCTCTTCAAAGTTCTTTTCAACTTTCCCTTACGGTACTTGTTGACTATCGGTCTCGTGCCGGTATTTAGCCTTAGATGGAGTTTACCACCCGCTTTGGGCTGCATTCCCAAGCAACCCGACTCCGGGAAGACCCGGGCCCGGCGCGCCGGGGGCCGCTACCGGCCTCACACCGTCCACGGGCTGGGCCTCGATCAGAAGGACTTGGGCCCCCCACGAGCGGCGCCGGGGAGCGGGTCTTCCGTACGCCACATGTCCCGCGCCCCGCCGCGGGGCGGGGATTCGGCGCTGGGCTCTTCCCTGTTCACTCGCCGTTACTGAGGGAATCCTGGTTAGTTTCTTTTCCTCCGCTGACTAATATGCTTAAATTCAGCGGGTCGCCACGTCTGATCTGAGGTCGCGTCTCGGAGGGGGACGGGCCGCTCGGCGGACGGACGGACGGAATCGCGCCGGCCCGACCGCCCGCCCGACGCTCCGTCGGGAGACGGGCCCGGCGAGGGGGAGAGGCGACGGGAGAGAGAGCCGCGGCCGAGGGCACCCCCGCGCCGCCCCGCCGGAGCGGGACGACCGGAGGGAGGGGCACGGGCCGGGGGCGGGACGGGCGCCGCACGCCCCGACCCGTCTCCCCCGCGGAGGTCGGGGGGACGGGTCCGAGGACGCGGCGGCGGAGCCGCCCCGCCCCGACGCGGAAGCTCGGGACGGGGCCCCGGCGCGGCGCGGCGCGGCCGCGAGCCGGAGGCGGGCGCGCGACGGCGGACGACACCGCGGCGTCCCGCGGGTCGCCGCCGGGGACACGCGAACCCCGGCGCCGCGGCCACGGGCGCGGCCGGGCGGGCCGCGGGGCGGGCTCCCGGCCCCGGCCGACGCGCCGCGAGGCGAGCCGGGCGGGCGGGCGCGCGTACGCGCGGGGAGGGCGAGGAGGACAGGGCGGGCCCTCGGAGGAGGGGCGGCGGGGGAGGAGGAGGGGCGCGGGAGCGGCGGTCGGCGGACGCCGGGCGCCACCGGGGGCGGGCGGCGAACCGCGGCGACCGGGACGCGCTCCCCCGACCCTCTCTCCCCGCCGGCACCCTTCCCCTTCCGGACCCGCCTTCCTCCTCCCCCACCACCACACCGCACGCAACACGCCCCCACCGCCGACGACGCGCGACGACGACGACGACGGGCACGGGACCTTCCACCCGGCCGGGGCCGACGAACCCCGAACCCCGAGCCGCGCGCGGCGCGAGGGAGCCCCCCGAGGGAGGAACCCGGACCGCAGGCGGCGGCCACGGGAACTCGGCCCGAGCCGGCTCTCTCTTTCCCTCTCCGTCTTCGCGGGCGGCGGCGGCGCCGCCCTCCCCGTCTCTCTCAGCCGGGCGCGCCCCCCTCTCCCCCCCGCCACCCGACGCGTGACCACGCAGGGCCCGCGGGGGGAGGGGGAAGGGGCGGGCGCGGCGGCAAGAGGAGGGCGGACGCCGCCGGGTCTGCGCTTAGGGGGACGGAGGGCCCCCGGCGGGCCCTGCGAGGGAACCCCCAGCCGCGCACCCCGAGGAGCCCGGAGGCACCCCCGGGGGCGATTGATCGGCAAGCGACGCTCAGACAGGCGTAGCCCCGGGAGGAACCCGGGGCCGCAAGTGCGTTCGAAGTGTCGATGATCAATGTGTCCTGCAATTCACATTAATTCTCGCAGCTAGCTGCGTTCTTCATCGACGCACGAGCCGAGTGATCCACCGCTAAGAGTCGTACGAGGTCGATTTGGCGAGGGCGCTCCCGACGACGCACCGGGAGGAGGCCCTTCCTGGCGCGGCACGTCCCCCCGCCCCCCCCCAAGAGGAGAGGGGGTTGCCTCAGGCCGGCCAGACGAGACAGCAAACGGGACCGGACTCCGGAGAGGGGTCGGAAGGTTTCACACCACGGGGAGGCGCGCGCCGCCCACGCGGGGGCGAGCGCGGACACCACCCCACAGGCGCCCGGGGGTTCCCGCCCCCACGGCGCGGGGCGCACGCCACACGCGCGGCAGGCGCGCGACGGCCGCCGGGTAAAGCCCCCACCCGACGGCCGCCGCGGCGGCGGCGGCGGCGCGGCCCCGGCCGGGGAGCGGAGTCCGCGGTGGAGGCGCGGGAGGGGCCGGGCCCCTCCCGACGGGACTCCCCCGCGGGCCCACCACCGCCCCCGACCCACGGGCGGACGGGCGATCCCCCCAAGGGGTCTTTAAACCTCCGCGCCGGAACGCGCTAGGTACCTGGACGGCGGGGGGGCGGACGAGGAGGCGGGGGAGGGGACCGGCGTCCGGCCCCCGACCCTCGAGACGCCCTAGCGGGAAGGCCGGGGAGAGCGAGCGGGGCCGTGCCCGGCGGCGCGGAGCGGCGCGGCGGAGGCGACGGGAATCCGGCCGGCCCCGAAGACGGGGAGCCGGCGCGGCGGGGCCGGACGACGGGCCCCGGCGGGGAGGAGGGCACCGAGACCCCCAGACCCGCCGCGACGCCGCCGAGAACCGCCCCCGCGCCCGCCGACACCCACGCCGTCGGGGCCGCTGCCGGGGACCGCTCCCCGCCGCCCGCCGGCCCCACGACACGCGCACACCAACGACACGCCCTTCTTTCTCTTTCTCTCTCTCTCTCTCTCTCCCCCGTCTCCCTCCCGAGTTCTCCGGCTCTCGCGGCCGGCGGGGCCGGGCGGCGAACGAACGAGCGAGCGAACGAACGGGCACGCGGGCCCCGCCCGCGCACGCGCCGCGTCGCGGTGGGGGGGTGGGTGTGCGGAGGGAAGCGCGCGGCGGCGGCGCCGCCGCGGGCCTCGCCCTCCGGGCTCCGTTAATGATCCTTCCGCAGGTTCACCTACGGAAACCTTGTTACGACTTTTACTTCCTCTAGATAGTCAAGTTCGACCGTCTTCTCAGCGCTCCGCCAGGGCCGTGGGCCGACCCCGGCGGGGCCGATCCGAGGGCCTCACTAAACCATCCAATCGGTAGTAGCGACGGGCGGTGTGTACAAAGGGCAGGGACTTAATCAACGCAAGCTTATGACCCGCACTTACTGGGAATTCCTCGTTCATGGGGAATAATTGCAATCCCCGATCCCCATCACGAATGGGGTTCAACGGGTTACCCGCGCCTGCCGGCGTAGGGTAGGCACACGCTGAGCCAGTCAGTGTAGCGCGCGTGCAGCCCCGGACATCTAAGGGCATCACAGACCTGTTATTGCTCAATCTCGGGTGGCTGAACGCCACTTGTCCCTCTAAGAAGTTGGGGGACGCCGACCGCTCGGGGGTCGCGTAACTAGTTAGCATGCCAGAGTCTCGTTCGTTATCGGAATTAACCAGACAAATCGCTCCACCAACTAAGAACGGCCATGCACCACCACCCACGGAATCGAGAAAGAGCTATCAATCTGTCAATCCTGTCCGTGTCCGGGCCGGGTGAGGTTTCCCGTGTTGAGTCAAATTAAGCCGCAGGCTCCACTCCTGGTGGTGCCCTTCCGTCAATTCCTTTAAGTTTCAGCTTTGCAACCATACTCCCCCCGGAACCCAAAGACTTTGGTTTCCCGGAAGCTGCCCGGCGGGTCATGGGAATAACGCCGCCGCATCGCCGGTCGGCATCGTTTATGGTCGGAACTACGACGGTATCTGATCGTCTTCGAACCTCCGACTTTCGTTCTTGATTAATGAAAACATTCTTGGCAAATGCTTTCGCTCTGGTCCGTCTTGCGCCGGTCCAAGAATTTCACCTCTAGCGGCGCAATACGAATGCCCCCGGCCGTCCCTCTTAATCATGGCCTCAGTTCCGAAAACCAACAAAATAGAACCGCGGTCCTATTCCATTATTCCTAGCTGCGGTATCCAGGCGGCTCGGGCCTGCTTTGAACACTCTAATTTTTTCAAAGTAAACGCTTCGGGCCCCGCGGGACACTCAGCTAAGAGCATCGAGGGGGCGCCGAGAGGCAAGGGGCGGGGACGGGCGGTGGCTCGCCTCGCGGCGGACCGCCCGCCCGCTCCCAAGATCCAACTACGAGCTTTTTAACTGCAGCAACTTTAATATACGCTATTGGAGCTGGAATTACCGCGGCTGCTGGCACCAGACTTGCCCTCCAATGGATCCTCGTTAAAGGATTTAAAGTGGACTCATTCCAATTACAGGGCCTCGAAAGAGTCCTGTATTGTTATTTTTCGTCACTACCTCCCCGGGTCGGGAGTGGGTAATTTGCGCGCCTGCTGCCTTCCTTGGATGTGGTAGCCGTTTCTCAGGCTCCCTCTCCGGAATCGAACCCTGATTCCCCGTCACCCGTGGTCACCATGGTAGGCACGGCGACTACCATCGAAAGTTGATAGGGCAGACGTTCGAATGGGTCGTCGCCGCCACGGGGGGCGTGCGATCGGCCCGAGGTTATCTAGAGTCACCAAAGCCGCCGGCGCCCGCCCCCCGGCCGGGGCCGGAGAGGGGCTGACCGGGTTGGTTTTGATCTGATAAATGCACGCATCCCCCCCGCGAAGGGGGTCAGCGCCCGTCGGCATGTATTAGCTCTAGAATTACCACAGTTATCCAAGTAGGAGAGGAGCGAGCGACCAAAGGAACCATAACTGATTTAATGAGCCATTCGCAGTTTCACTGTACCGGCCGTGCGTACTTAGACATGCATGGCTTAATCTTTGAGACAAGCATATGCTACTGGCAGGATCAACCAGGTAGGTAAGGTAGAGCGCGGCGAGGCCCCGACGCGGCCGGACGGCCGGCCGGGGGGCCTCGCGAGGACGGGCCCGGCGCCCCGCAAGCGAGGAGGACGACGGACGGACGGACGGACGGGCCGCGGACGGGCGGACGGGAGGGAGCGAGCGGGCGCGGGGGCGGCGGCCGGGACCGGTGGGGCCGGGGCGGGGCGCGGCGAACCGGACGCCCCAACCACCCGCCCCCCACGCGACACGACCACCGGGGCCCCGCGCCACAGACCCGCGACGCTTCTTCGTCGCGCCCGCCCGCGAGGAGGCGGACGGCCCGACCCGCGCCCGGCGGCCGGGAGGGACCGGCGGCCACGCGCGCGCGCATGGCGCCCGCGGGCGCGCGCAGGCGGGGACGGCGCTCCGCCGCCCCGCGGGCACCCGACGTCCGGGCGCGAGCGAGAGGCGGACCGCGGTGCCCGGCCCGGGGACAGTCGCGCCGTGCGCCGCAGCGCCCGCGCACCGGTCCGGTCGAGTGCCCGGGGCCGTCCGAAGCCCGGCTCCGAGCCCCGCCGGCGGCGCGGCGCAGGGGTGGCACACGCCACACGACGGCCAAGGGAGGGCGACCGAGGCCGGCCGGCGCGCCCGCCCCGCCCGGGACGGGGGACCGCGACCGGGGCCGAGGCCCGGCCCGGGCCCCACCCCCCGACCCGGGGAGAGGGCGAGCGACCGGCAAGGCGGAGGTCGACCCACGCCACACGTCGCACGAACGCCTGTCCGGGAGGGACCACCGGGCCGGCTCGGGCACGCGCGCGCCGAACGGGCGACGCCACGCGGGGAGGACGGGCTCTCCCCGACGCCGACGCCCGGGACGGACGCCTCGGGGAAAGGGCCGCGGCAGGCCCGGGAAGCGAGCGCACCCGGGGGACGCGCCGACCCGGTTCGGAAGAGCGGGCCGGGAGAAGACGAGAGACCACGGCGAGGCGGGGCGACGGGGAAGGCGCGAGAAAGGCGGCCGGCGGGGAAAGGGGACGCACGGGACCCTCGAGCGCGGCCGACCGCAGCCGGGACACACGCGCGGGGCCTCACCGCCGCCGGCGGCACCGCGCGGCACCCGGGGCGGCCGACCGGCCCTCGGCGATCCCCGCGGCTCCCCCCACCACCGCCGCCGCAGTCGCGGCCGGTCCCCCGGAACCGTCTCCTCCCCCGCACGCGCCGCAGGCCGACCCCCGGAACCCTCCGGGAAGCCCACCGGGCCCCACGCGGGGCGCCACCGACCCGGTCCCCAAGGCGCGCGCCGGGGGACGCGGACGCCGGGCCGATCAGTGGCCGGCGGCGGCGCCCCACGAGGCGGTGCCGGGTTCGGTCCCAGGCGGGGCCACCAACGGACGTGAAGCCGGTGAGCCGCTCGGGGGGAAGAAGAGGATCGGCGGGCGGCGGGCGGGGAAGAGGGCACAGACGGGCGAGGGCCGGGGACCGCGAGGGCAAGGGCACCCGGGAGCCCGCAGAGGCGGCGGCTCCGGGAGAAACCTCAGGCACGGCCGGGCCACCAGGAAAACACGGCCGCGGGATCCCACCGCCACAGACACGAGGGCGGTCCCGCGGCGCCCCGCCTGGGACGCCGGACGGCCCTCGGCCCCCACCGAGAACCGCCTCGCGAGCCCCGGGGCCCCGCCACCGGGGGCCCCGGAGCGACCGCAGCCACGAACCCGACACGCCACCACCACCGTCGCTCGTGATTCTCGTCCATCCTCCGACCCGGTCCCGCTCCGGGAGACCGGCGCGCCCCCACCGTGGGACGCTTTCCCAGGGCCAGGCGGGCCCGACCCCGTGCCACGCAAACGCGGTCGTCGGCACCGGTCACGACTCGGCACGGGAGCGGGCGGAGAGCCGACTCGCGGCGGAGGGAGTCACGCGCCGGACAGAGCGCCGGGCGCGCACACCCACCGCCCGCCGGCCGCCGCGTCCCAACCCGCTGGGACGCCGGGCCCGGCCCGGCGGGATCCTCCCCCGACTCGGAAGGGGGAGGCGCGGGCCACAGTAGGCGACGAGCCGCACTCGGCCACCACCGCGGTGGCCGGCGGAACCCTCGCTTCTCCCCCCCAACCCCGTCGAGGGGGAAGCGGAGGAGGGTCCTCTGCGAGCGGGTCGCTACGGCAGCGCTACCATAACGGAGGCAGAGACAGAGGCGGCGGCCCGGGGGATCCGGTACCCCCAAGGCACGCCTCTCAGATCGCTAGAGAAGGCTTTTCTCACCGAGGGTGGGTCACACTCCCCCCACCCGCCAGCCGCTCCTCCTCGGGCCCGCAGAGGCGCCGAGGGACGCCTGGGGAAGGGAGGGGGCCCTGCGGTACGAGGAAACACCTGCGCGCGGCCACCTCGAGCGTTCGCGTTCAGGGCGGGGGCCCGGCCGGTGCGCGCGTGCGCGCAACCCCACCAGGCCCCCCCGTCCACCCACCTCCTTCCTTCCGAGGCAGAGCGCCTCCGAAGTCAACCCACACACGACCGGTCGGAGGCAGAACGGCAGCCCCTCGGCGGCCGGCCGGCGCACGCGTCACACCGGCCCGAACCCACCGCGATCGCTCACACGGCCCGCGCGCACCCGCCAGAGGGGAGCACGGGACGTGCGCTCACCGAGAGCAGGCGGGCGCCCTTCCCCGCGTGGGAGGGGCGCGTCTCGTCTCGTCTCACTCAAACCGCCCCGAACCCCACACCGACGAGCTCCCTCAGGACCCACGCGCGGACACCGCGGCGGCGACCGGAGGAGGGGGCGCCGGGGGCGGGAACGACACACCACCGTTCGGCCTCGGGCACCTGAGGGACAACCCGGAGCGCTCCAGGAGCACCGCAAGGGCCCAGGCGGAGCCGACGCTCGCGCAAACCCCCCGAGAGGGCAGCACGACGGGCCGGCGGGACGGCACCCCCACCGCCGCGGAGGGGGGCCGCCCGCAAGTCGACAACCACTGGAGGCGACAGCGAGGGCTGTCTGCCGCGTCAGAGGACCCCGCCGGCCCGCACCCGCGACGCAGAAGGCGGCGGGCGGGACGGCGAGGTCGGGCCGGGGTCCGCACCCCACGCCTTCCCACACGCACCGCCGGCGGGCGGGGAGAGGAGAGACGAGGGGACCCCCGCGGGGCGGAGCGAGAAGGACGGTCCCGTTCGCCACGAACGTCCGCCCCTCGCCCGTCGCGGCTCGGACCCGGCCCGGGAGAGCACGACGTCACCACATCGATCACGAAGAGCCCCCCGGGAGCGGAGGCCGGCCGGCCGGCCAGCGAGCCGATCGGCTCCGGCCAACCCCCCACTCCGGGGAAGGGGCGGCGGACAACCCCGCGGAGACGAGAACGCCTGACACGCACGGCACGGAGCCAGCGGGGTGGGGTTGTCGCGGCCGCCCCGGGCGCCCGCAGCGGAGAGCGCACGGGGGCACGGTGGCCCTCGCCGCCTTCCCCGCCGCCCCCGGGTGGGTCAGAGACCCGGACCCGGGCCGGCACCGGGAGTCGGGACGCTCGGACGCGCGAGAGAACAGCAGGCCCGCGGGCCCCGGCAGGCGGCTCAAGCAGGAGCGCGGCCGGCTAGCCGGGTCACCGGTAGGCCAGAGCCCCGCGCGCATCCGGAGGCCCAACCTCTCCAGCGACAGGTCGCCAGAGGACAGCGTGTCAGCAATAACCCGGCGGCCCAAAATGCCGACTCGGAGCGAAAGATATACCTCCCCCGGGGCCGGGAGGTCGCGTCACCGACCACGCCGCCGGCCCAGGCGACGCGCGACACGGACACCTGTCCCCAAAAACGCCACCATCGCAGCCACACACGGAGCGCCCGGGGCCCTCTGGTCAACCCCAGGACACACGCGGGAGCAGCGCCGGGCCGGGGACGCCCTCCCGGCCGCCCGTGCCACACGCAGGGGGCCGGCCCGTGTCTCCAGAGCGGGAGCCGGAAGCATTTTCGGCCGGCCCCTCCTACGACCGGGACACACGAGGGACCGAAGGCCGGCCAGGCGCGACCTCTCGGGCCGCACGCGCGCTCAGGGAGCGCTCTCCGACTCCGCACGGGGACTCGCCAGAAAGGATCGCGGCAGAGGGACCGCTCCCCGGCACCCGGGGGACGGGGGCGGGACGGTCCCCGGCTCCCCACGGGGACTCGGAAACGAATTCGGCCGCCGCCTCAGACGGCCAGGATGAGCGCGGACCCGCGACCGGGCCGGGAAGGGCGTCCCCAGCCTCCCGCGCCACGCGCGGCGGGTCCCCGCGGGTCGCGGCTCGGGCCTCGGGAGCTACGGCGCGCTGGTCGACCGGCCCGGGCAGCCCCACGCCCGCCGCGGGCCCAGAAGCGCAGCGACAGCCTCTCCCCCACATAAACCTGCACGCCAGAGCTGTGACTCACAAGCGACGCGCCACAGCTCTGGCGCCACCGGGCCAGCCGGGCTGACGACCGCGGGCTTTCCGGAGCTCTGCCTAGCTCACAGCGGGGACGGTCCCCTCCCTCGGCAGCTGCCACCGCAGCTCCGGAAGCCGAGAGCACGATCTCAAAGCGGCCGCCAGATGGAGCCCGACAACCGCCGCGGACGTCAGCGAGACAGATCCGGCTGGCAGGGCGGCCCGTGGACCGCGAAAGCGAAACCGTGAGTCGAGAAGCTCTTCCCGAGGCCGAAAACGCAGCCCCTCTGCCCCAACCCCACACAAACGGTGCCCAAAACGCGTCTCTGCCTCGACCGCGACAGAGTCAGAAGACAACCCACGGCGCGTGGGTGTTTGGAGATGCCTCTCGGAAGCAGGGAGGGAGGGAGGGAGGGAGGGAGGGAGGGAGAAAGAACACACAAGGACTCGGTCGCGGGTCGCTGCAGACACACGGAGAGGCAGAATGCGTAGGCTCTTCCGGAATCCACGCAGAGACAGACGGGGGGAGGGGAGTGGGGAAAAGAGACAGATGGCGAAAGGGAAGGAGGGAGGGAAGGGAGCAGGGAGGGAGGGAGGGAGGGAGGGAGGAAGACAATGGAGAAAAGAGAGACAATTTAGAAAACGTAGATACACAAAGTAAACTTCTGAAACACTCCATTTTTTAAAAGACAGACGGGAAGGAAAGAAACACGAAAAAGAGAGAAAGAATGAGGAAAGAAACGAAGGAAAGAAGGGAAAAAGAAACAGAGAGGAAAGAAAAAAGAAGGAAACACAGGGAACGAAAGAGAAATAAAGCACGAAGGAAAAAAGGACAGAAAGAGAGAAAGAAGGAAAGGAAGAGAGGAAGAAAAACCTAAAGAAGGAGAGAAAGGAAGAAAGGAAGGAAGAAAAACACGAAGGAGAGGAAGAAAGAAAACAGAGATAACTACGTACGCTCGTTCATTTACACACATAAATACGACGCTTTTCATACGTAAAATAAACGTCTTTATCGACGATCCCTTCTTTATAGAGCGATGTGTATTTATTTGTATAACACAGACACCTACATCTATCATACAGAAGTCTATTTCCATACAACCGATACGTATTTACCATACGCAAGAGTATTCAATGCAGAGATACACGTTGTCGTTGTTTGCATATAAGCGTACAGAAACGTTTACATTAATACATATAAGTAAACGCGTGGAAACGAAAGAAATAAAAAAGCGAAATGAGTCAACAGGCCGGGCACGGTGGCTCACGCCCGTCATCCCAGCACTTCGAGAGGCCGAGGTGGGCGCATCACAGGAGGTCGGGAGTTGGAGACCAGCCTGAGCAACATGGAGAGACACGGCGTGCCTACTAAAAACACAAACATCAGCCAAGCCAGGCGTGGGGGTGCCTCCCTGTAATCCCCGCTAATCGGGAGGCTGAGGCAGGAGAAGCGCTCGAACCCGGGAGGCGGAAGGTGCGGTGAGCCAAGACCGCGCCATTGCACTCTAGCCGTGGAAACAAGAGTGAAACTCTGTCTCAAAAGGACGAAACAGAAAGAAAGAAAGAAAGGAAGGAAGGAAGGAAGGAAGGAAGAAAGAAAGAAAAGAAAGAAGGAATGAATGAAAGAAAAGAAAGCAAGAAAGAAAGAAAGAAAGAAAAAGAAAAGAAAGAAAGAAAAGAAAGCAAGAAAGCACGAAAGCAAGCAAGCAAGAAAGCAAGAAAACAAGGAAGCAAGAAAGCAAGCAAGAAAGAAACAAAAGAAAGAAAGCAAGAAAACAAGAAAGCACGAAAGCAAGCAAGCAAGAAAGCAAGAAAACAAGGAAGCAAGAAAGAAAGAAACAAAAGAAAGAAAGAAAACAAGAAAGCAAGAAAGCACGAAAGCAATCAAGCAAGAAAGCAAGCAGGAAAGAAACAAAAGAAAGAAAGAAATCGAGAAAACAAGAAAGCACGAAAGCAAGCAAGCAAGAAAGCAAGCAAGAAAGAAACAAAAGAAAGAAAGAAAGAAAGAAAACAGGAAAGCAAGAAAGCACGAAAGCAAGCAAGCAAGAAAGCAAGCAGGAAAGAAACAAAAGAAAGAAAGAAATCGAGAAAACAAGAAAGCACGAAAGCAAGCAAGCAGGAAAGCAAGCAAGAAAGAAAGAAAAGAAAGAAAGAAAGAAAGAAAACAGGAAAGCAAGAAAGCACGAAAGCAAGCAAGCAAGCAAGAAAGCAAGCAAGAAAGAAACAAAAGAAAGAAAGAAAGAAAGAAAACAGGAAAGCAAGAAAGCACGAAAGCAAGCAAGCAAGCAAGAAAGCAAGCATGAAAGAAACGAAAGAAAGAAAGAAAGAAAGAAAACGGGAAAGGAAGAAAGCACGAAAGCAAGCAAGCAAGCGAGCGAGAGAGAGAGAGAGAGAGAGAGAGAGAGAGAGGCTGGGCGCGGTGGCTCACGCCTGTCATCCCAGCACTTTGGGAGGCTAAGGCAGGCGGACCACCTGAGGTTGGGAGTGGGAGACCAGCCTGACCAACATGGAAAAACACCGTCTCTACTAAAAGTACAAACATCAGCCAGGCACGGTGGCCCATGCCTGTAATCCCAGCTAATCAGGAGGCTGAGGCAGGAGAATCGCTTGAACCTGGGAGGCGGAGGGTGCGGTGAGCCGAGATCGCGCCATTGCCCTCTAGCCTGGGCAACAAGAGTGAAACTCTGTCTCAAAAAAAAGAAGAAGAAGAAGAAGAAAAAGAGAAAGTAATAAAGAAAGAAAGAAAGAAAGAAAAGGCAAGGCCAGGCAAGGCCAGGCAAGGCAAATCTACCTGCTTTCACTACATCTGGGGAGAATCAGGAAAGTCCCCAACAACAACAAGGCCTAAAGTGGAGCTGCCATCTGTCAAACCCGAGCGGAAGAGTCCACGCGGGTTAAAGACACGAAGAAAGACAAGGAAACCCCTGACCAAGGAGAAGAACAATCGGGCCCAGCCAGGGTCTGTCTCCCGGGGTTGTCTGGGCAACCAGGGAGGGCGGGCCTCCGAGACTCCGTCTCGAAACATCAATCACGATAATAACATAAAATGAAGTTAAAAAAAGAAATCACGCATAATTCCTAACGTGTTTGAGGCCTCGAAAGGCGAGAGGCGTATGTGTACGTCACGGTGGGGTTGTTCTGTTTTGTTGTTTTTTTCTTTTTTCTTTTCTTCTTTTTCCCCAGAAACTCACTTTTTAATTATTTTGTTGCGTTTCATTTTCATTTTCATTTTGCCTTCAAGTCCAGCGTCGCAAGCATGGCAATACCCCTTCTCTACTAATGTTCAAAAATTAGCAGGGCATTATGGCGCGTGACTGTAATCCCGGCCACTCAGGAGGATGAGACTGGAGAATCGCTTCAACCCGGGAGATATTTGCTGCAGTGAACCCAGTGCACCACTGCATTCCAGCCTGGGTGGCTGAGCGAGAGTCCGTCTTAAAAAAAAAAAAAAAGACACAAGAAAGAACAGACCAAAATACTCCATTGTTTCAGAACATTTCCCCAGAAGACCCCAAACGCCCTGAGTCAGGTCAAGGAGGTGGTGCTTTATTTTACTTGTCTCTCTCTCTTTCTCTCTCTCTCTCTTTCTTCCCTAACTGTTATTTGTTTTTGAAGCATACATGTGCAAGATTGTTTCATAGGTAAACTTCTGAGTAGGGGGTTCAGTGTGCCGATGATTTCCTCACCCGGATTCTCAGCGCAGTCCCCTACAGTTTTTGTGTTCTGCTCGTTTTGCTTTGTCCTGAAGCTGTCTGTCCTTCCACACGTCCTCCCTCAGGTAGGCTCCTGCGTCTCTCGTCCCCCTAGTTCTTCGCATGCATTCTCATTATGTAGTTCCCACTTATGTGTGAGAACACGCGGTATTTAGATGATTATTGTTTCATCTTCGGTGGTGGTGATGAAAGAGGCATGACACTACATCGACCCTTAGGACGCTCCCCTCCATCCCCACCCTACACCCCCTCCCCACGCACACCGTCTTTCCTGCACCCCCTCCTGAAACCCAACAAACGAAGAAAGACAGAAATTAAAGTAAGAGTTCAGCCACCAAGGCGGTGGTGGGGGGGAATCTCAAACGGTGAGCAGGCGATGGGAGTCTGGGGATGTCATGGCCTAGGTAGCAACAATAGGGGACCGACTTTCCAGCCCCCACCCCACACTCCCTAATCCTCAGCCATCACTTTGGAGTTCATCCAAGGAAGGCTGGTCTCAGGGACTACATACCTAACCTCTCTGGGCTTCTATAGGATAAGATGTTATGGCCAGACGCGGAGCTCACGCCTTTAATCTCAGCACTTTGGGTGGTCAAGTTGGGTGGTACGCCTCAGGTTGGGTGTTCTAGACCAGCCTGACCATTATGGAGCTACCTAGTCTCTATGAAAAAAAAAAAATTAGCCAGGCCTGGAGGTGTTTGCCTGTGGTTTCAGCTACTCGAAAGGGTGAAGACTGGAAAATCTCTTGAACACAGGCGGCAGAGGTTGCGGTGAGCTGAGGTCACGCCACTGAACTCCAGCCTGGGCAATAAGAGCGAAACTCCACCTGAAAGACAAAAAAAAAAAAAAAAAAAATGAAAAGGAAAGAAGATTTTATGAAGTATAGTTTATACCAATCGGCTCTCACTGTACCTTGAGAGATTCCGAAAATCGCTACTTAATGACCGAAGAAAACACCAGCTAACAGGTTTTGGGGAAAATACACATCTTCCTAAAATTGGTAAAATCTACTTCAACTGAAAAGAGATAAGTAAAGTAAAAACTACAAACAAAACAAAACGTAAAAACAAACACAGACCAAGGCATCGCTTGTGGAAATATTATGTAAGCAAATTGTCACTTTTTAGAAAGCATTTCTATGTTGGGCAAATACCAGTAAGGCCCAGGGAAGATCTGTGAAATGTGGCAGCATGCACCATTTTAAGGGCTGAAATCCATCTGTGTGTCTCCTTTCATCACAACTCTTTTTTTTGGGCGGGCGGATACCTGGAGTTCATGAGTTCAAGAGCAGTCTGGGCAATATAGCAAAATTCTGACTACTAAAAAGGCAAATGTTAGCTGGGTATGGTGTCACACAGAACTATGTTCCAAGAGGAAGCATCACAAATACCCATGGTCCGCAGTCAAGAAATGAACTGAGTTTACAAGTTTGTAGTGTCATTGCTGCCTCGAAAGGTGAGATGCATATGTTTGTGTCACTGCGGGTTTCTATTTCTTCTTGGAAACTCACTTATTTTTAATTACTTTTTTTTTTTTTAGATGGAATCTGACTCTGTCACCCAAGCTGGAGTCCAGTGGCATGATCTGGGCTGACTGCAATCTCCATCTCCCGGCTTCAACAGATTCTACTACCTCAGCATATAGAGTAGCTGGGAGTAGAGGTGTGTGACACCACACCTGGTTAATTTTTGTATTCTTCATACAGACAGAGTTTGACTATGTTGGCCAGGCTGGTCTCAAACTCCTGACCTCGTAATCCTCCCACATCCGCCTAGCAAACTGCTGAGATGAGAGGAGTGGCCCACTGCACCCAGCCTACTGGTTTATTTTTAAAAATAGCAATTTGGGTCGGGCGCAGTGTGTCTCGCCTTTCTATATCAACCAACATTCTTTCTCGAGTCTGATGACCTGGGATCTCCCAGCACTTTGGGAGGACGAGGCCACAGGATTCCTGGAAGTTGGAGTTCAAGACCAGCCTGGGCAACATGGGAAAACCCTGTCTTTACTAAAAAGGTAAAAGTTAGCTGGGTATGGTGGCACGTGCCTGTTATCCCAGCTACTCGAGAGGCTAAGGCAAGAGAATCGCTGGAACCTGGGAGGCGGAGGTTGCAGTGGCCCGATACTGCGCCATGGCCTGACCAACAGAACAAGACTCCATCTCAAATAAATTAATAAATACGTTAGTTAATCGAAAAGTTTAAAAAGAAAACTTCAAGGACGTTGCAGGAATGCACGGGAATGCTTCTCTCATTCCTAAAGATCAGAGCAGAAACACAGTACCATCAGGTTGAGATACAGGCCATTGTGAATCTCTTCTCACTGTGCTCAACTGACACCAAAGAAGGGCAGGTTTCCATGCCGCCCGTTCATCATCACCGCTCTCGTCAAGTATAATTGCAGAGTCATGACTACACAGAGATCTCTCAACCCACCAACTGCGTCCTTACTTGTATGAGTGCAGTTGAAAGAATAAACAGGGCATTTAGCGAAGTAATCATCATATGTTCTTTTGTCTCTCGTGTCTCTCATGAAACCAATCACATTCGTGGACCACTTTTTCCCCACCCTTCGAACATCCACAGAGCATCAAAATAAAAGAGCAGTGAATGCCTTTTACGCGACAAGGAGGAAAAACAACAAAGTGAAAGTCACAGAGGCTTGTGATACACAGGGAGATACAGAATAAGGAGAATTTTCCAAAATCCACACAAAGACAGACAGACAGAGGGATGGAAAGAAAGAAATGAAGAAAAGAGAGAGAGAGTAAGGAAGATCAAGAAAAAGAAAATAGACAGACAGAGATGTAAAGGGAAGAAAGATGAAAAAGAAAACCAAAAGACATAGAAACAGAAAAAAAAAGAATGAGAAATGAGAGAAAAAAGGGAGGAAGAAAAAGAGAGAAGAAAAAGAAAAGACAGAAAGAAAGAGAAAGAAAAAAAGAGAAAAAATGAAGGAAATAAAAAAGAGGGCAGGGCATTGTGGCTCACACCTATAATCCCAGCACTTTGGGAGGCTGAGTTGGAAGAATTGCTAGAGCCTAGGACTTTGAGACCAGCCCTGGCAACACAGTGAGACCCCGTCTCTACTGAAAAAGAAAAGAAAAGAAAAAAATCCGGGCATTATGATGGCAGGCGCCTGTGGTCCCAGATCCTTTGGAGCCTGAGTTGAGAACATCGCTTGGGGTCGGGAGGTGGAGGCTGCAGCGGGTCTTGGTCAGACAAATGCTCTGCAGTCTGTTTCCGAGGCTGTCTTGAACTCCCGAGCTCTAGCGAACTGCCCTCCTCAGCCTCCGAAATTGCAGCCGCCACAACCAACGGTCCTGAAGGTGTCATTGACAGATTTTAGTAAACAGGGTGTTTCGCCATATTGCGAATTTGAACCCAGGCATTTGAAGCTGCAGTGACCCAAAGTCGCGCCACTGCACTGCACTCTGGGTGATAGAGGAAGACTCCATCTCTAAATAATTACATAAATAATAAAAACAATAACAATAATGACAAACAATAATACAAAGAAATAATAAGCAGCAATAATAATAAACAAACTCGTGGGAGTGAAAAACTATAAAAGGTAATTTAGATCACAGTTAATTGCAGTTTATTTCAAGGAATTTTTTTCTTTAACCTGTCTCTCTTACCTTCTGAAACACTCAGACTGGAGGGCAAGGCATCATCACGGCTCACTTCAGCTTCGACATCACAGAATTAAGTGATTCCTGTAGTCTCAGCCACTTGGAAGGCTGAGATAGGAAGATCACCTGAGGGAGTCCTGGAAAGTCGAGGCGGCTGTAAGCCGAGATTGCATTCTTACACTCCAACCTGCCTCAAAAACTACAAATAAATAAAAGGTAAATGTAAAACAACAGCAACTTCAGTGTGTAGAAAGAGGAGCAAGAAAAATAAAAGAAAAACAAAACGAAGAGAAACTGAAAGTACTGTGGAAACAGTTGGAGAGGAAGAAACAACGCAAGGAAAAAGCGACACCTAGTGAATGCGGGCGGTACTGCTGCTGACCAAAGTTATCTGGTCTACCTTAGAAATCCCAAGTTGACGGTCAAGTCCAACGCTTGCCGCGGACATCAGGTGGGCACGGCGACCAGAGACCTGAGGACTGGGGCCTTAGGCCCTGGTCCCAGGTCTTCCAGACAGAGAAGCCCGCGGCCGTGTCAACTGGATGTTGCTTGCTTCCCGCAGTCGGCTGATTCGCGGGCTGATCGGGAAGCCAAAGGCCAGCATCTAATCGACAGGGTCCACCCTAAAGACCAAATGTGGTGCTCGCGGAGGGAAGCGATCAGACGCAGTTGGAACCTTATCACACAGAACCGGCCCAGGTTTGAGGCCGTCTAACTTGGCAGACCTGCCAGCCATTTCCCCGCAGTCCGCTGGTTGACCCGGACAGAGAAGAGGAGTAAAGACACAAGGGTAGTGACTAGCTAGTCTTTCATCCCAGCACCCCTGAGGCGGGGAGAGGGACTGTGACCCCAACAGCCACCCACGGGCATCGCGCGAACACTACTCAGGCAGGGACTGCAGGGGCAAAACCTCTGACACCCGCGCCTCAGCCATTCGCACGAGGCTCGAAGAATCCGGTCCCAACTCGTGGAGGAATTCCCAGCGGGATGGGAGAAAGAAGCTCAATCAGAGAGGTGGAACATCGAGCAGGGGCGCCAACCCTACCTCGCAACCCCCAGCGCTGCATCTTGGAAAGCCTGCTGTTGGGGAACGACCCCTCCCAAATGCACGGCCGACGCCAATGTTATCTCGCGAGAGACAGCCCTGCATGCCCTGGGGCTCCGGGGCGGGGGGCCTGAGCAGGCCCGGGAACTAAGTCCCCGGGGGCAAAAGGAGGAAAGAAGGAAGGTAGAGGTCCAGGGCTGAATTATACAGGACACGCCACAACGCTAGTTTTCCCGCACACTGGTTGAGAGCCCCTTGTGTGGAGGGCTGACTTTCAATAGGTTGCAGTGAGGGAGTTGCTCTGCTCCATAGGAAACCCTGACCCAGAAGCAGGGCGTTTACCAATAGTTTAGTATCAGATTCCCCATAAGCATGTTATGTGACGGGCCAGGGAGCAAACGCCTTTCTGGCCGCACCCCGTTTTTTAGGATGGGGGGCCGCACCCCATTTTTTAGGATGATAAGACCGGAGCAAGGTCTTGGCGCACAGCGGGGCGGAGCGTCCGGCCGGTGGCAAAGGCTGGGGACTGGCTATCTGAGGCCAACCGAGTCTTGCCAGCGCTGCTGCATCCTTTCTTCTGGGCGGGATTCTGATTTAGAGGCGTTCAGTCATAATCCCACAGATGGTAGCTTCACCCCATTGGTTCCTCAGTCAAGCACATACACCAAATGTGTGAAACTTTGATTCCTCTCATACTCAGCAGGATTACCATGGTAGCAACACATGGGCAACAACACATGGAGAACACACGCAGTAAAACTAACCTGTCTCACATGGGTCTAACCATGATGTTTTCCAGGGCATGCACTCCGCTTTTAGATGAATCCATTCCACTTTGCCTTGCCCTTCACAAAGAAAAGAGAACTCGCTGGCCACAGTGGCTCACGCCTGTAATCCCGGCACATTGAAAGGCTGAGGCTGACGGATCACCTGATGGCAGGAGTTCGAGTCCAGCGTGGCCAACATGGTTAAACCCTGTCTCTATGAAAATACAAAAATTAGCTGGGCATAATAACGGGTGCCTGTTAACCCAGCTCCTCGGTAGGCTGAGGCAGTAGAATCGCCTGAAACCAGGAAGCGGATGTTGCAGTGAGCCGAGATTGCTCCATTGGGCTCCATCCTGAGCCTCTAAGCGAGACTCCATCTCAAAAAAGAAAAAAAAAAAAAAAAAAAACGAGAACTCTCTCTAGGGCTCCCACCTGCTTTTGCAGAATCAGAGAATGTGATTGCCGGCAAAGGTTGAGGGGAGGGCGCAGGGGAAAGAAGGGGGAGGAGCAAAGGCTGGAGACACAATAGCTCACTCTGGAACCTTTCCAAGTTTAGTGGGGACAATTTTGAAACTAGCTGACTCTGGAAATTACACATAATTCATAGTATTATTGCTTCTTTGAAAGGTGAGCGGTTCATGATTTTTTTTCTCAGCATTTATTCATTTACTTGTAATAAGTGCATTTAGTTTCATACAGTTTACATACAACCGGTTTGACTGTATCTGCAGAGATTTAGGATAGTTTTTCTTAATGGTAAGCCCTAGGGTGGAGCTACAATGCACTTTCCGTTGTGAACCCTGAAAACTTGAGAGAGGTCTCAGTTAATTTAGAAAGTTTACGTAACCAAGGTTCAGGACGCATACCCGTGACAGCCTCAGGAGGTTCTGAGGACATGTGCCTAAGGTAAACAGAGAACATTATCGTTTTATACATTCTAGGGAGACATGAGACATCAATCAAAGTATGCAAGATGAACATTGGTTCGGTCTGCAAAGGCGGGACAAATTAGCAAACGCGGGAAGACTGAAAGTGAGGAGGGGACTTCCTGGTCAAAGGTAGTTAAGAGACAAATGGTTGCATTCTTTGGAGTTTCTAATTAGCCTCTCCAAAGGAGGCAATCAAATATACATTTATCGCTTGAAACCAGGAGGCGAATGTTGCAGTGAGCCGAGATTGCTCCACTGGGCTCCAGCTTGAGCATCTGAGCGAGACTCCATCTCAAAAAAGAAAAAAAAAAAGAGAAAAGAGCAGAGGAGTGACTTTGAATAGAATGGCAGGTTGGCCCTAAACAGTTGCCAGCTTGACTTTTCCCTTTACTTTAGTGATTTGGAAGCCTCAAGATTTATTTTTCTTTCACACACACAATTTTTAAAACCCAGGTAGAACTGTTCATGCTTACTAAAAAAAAAAAAAAAAAAAAAAAAGGAAGAAAGAAAAACAAATGATAGCCTAGGCGCCCTGGCTTATTTCTGTAAACTCAGCACTTTAAGAGGCTGAGGTGGGTGGATCATCTGAAGTCAGGACTTCGAGAACAGACTGGCCAACATGGCGAAATGACGTCCCTACTAAAAATACAAAAATTTGCTGGGAGTAGAGGCAGGCACATGTAATACCAGCTAGTGGGGAGGCTGAGGCAGGAGAATCGCTTGAATCCAGGAGGCAGAGGTTGCAGTGAGCCGAGATGGCGCCATTGAACTTCAACCTGGGCTACAAGAGCGAAACTGTCTCTGTCTCTAAATAAATAAAGAAATAAGCATTCCCAGCCAGGGTGGAGGTTTCCTAGGCAACAAGGCATAGGGGGAGGGACAGAAGGAGTGCCTCTGAGGTCAGGGTGGGGCCCGAGAGAAACCAGTTTTCCCTGGCTGTGCGCGGGCGGCCAGAAGTTTTGGTGTGATGCCTCCATTTTCAATAACAGTGACCGCTAGGTGACGCCAAATGACAACCGAACGACGTTCCAGCCTGGAATGAGTGGGGTCACTGGTTTAGGGGTTGTCAAGGAAGGAGAAAGAGATGGAGGCCCATGGGGTCGCCGGTCTTCTGATCTCTCCTGGATTACGTTTCCGGGCCCGAGACACCCTCCCAGACAATCCCCGCAGCTCTTCAACCAGTGTCCCTGGGGAAAAGATGATCAGTTCTCAGAAAACATTCAGACAGGCAAGAACATGCGCTCACGTAAGCACATGACAAGTATACAACTTTATATGTGATAGTGAGCTTTCTTTTGCAAAATGTCTTCGTGATGCATTTCACTACATAGTATTGTTGAAAACATCAAATTATAGGAGTGAGCACAGTGGCTCAAGCCTGTAATCCCAGGACTTCTGAAGACCAAGGTGGGAGGCTGGATAGAGGACAGGAGTTTGAGACTAACCTGGGCAACACATCGAGAGAGATTACCACTACTTAAAAATATTGCCCAGCATTGTGGCACATGCCTATATTTCCAGCTACTCAGGAAGCTGAGGCAGGAGGATTGCTTAAGCCCAGGATTCAACGTTGCAGTGAGTGAGCTGTGAACAGGCGACCAGAGTTTTTTTGTTCTCTACAGCTTACATTTTCAATAACGGTTGCCGCTAGTTGTCGCCCAAAGACAACTAAAACACGTGTCATCCTGGAATACGTGGGATCCCTGATGGAGGGGTGGGTGAGGAAGTAGGAGGGGACGGAGGCACACGGAGTCGCCCATTTTCTCATGATTCCCGTTGGACTACTTTTCTGGGTGCAGAGCATCCTCCCAGAAAGTCCCCAAAACCATTCAACCAGAGCTCCTGAAAAAAACAGTCGCACTCTCTGCCCATCGGATCATCCGGAATTTCCATTTATCCATTGAGAAGAATGCTCCATTGGAGTTTGGCGCAGGTTACGGTTACAGGCAGGGGCTGCCTCAGACAGAAGTCTAGTCTACAGAGTTTCACAGTAGACCCTAGGTTCAATCTCTCCCAAACTCAGAGTAGCAATATCTGTCACAGTAGAATGAAGTGCATGAAATGCGTGCTCCGAAGAAAGCGTGTTTCACACAGATGATTTGCACACTTATTCTTGTCCCTAGGCCAGTTGTTTCTTCCAAAATACCCATTACTCAATCGTTCACCCTCTCGTGAACCACTTAGGAATCTTGTTCTATGAATCCTGGAGCTTCAATATTTGACATCTTCAGAAGAACATGAATGCTATCCTAGCCTGGTAGCAATAAGGTACCATTTCTCAGAAAACACGCACCTATGCACACAAGCAAGCATGTATACACACATGCCCGCATCATATCTATACAATTTTACACTGTGATAGTGAGCTTTCTTTCCCTAGATAACTTCGTAATTGCTTTCGCTACATAGTATTGTTTAAAATATCAAATTATAGGTGCTGGGTGTGGAGGTTTGACTCTAGTCAAAGCACTTTGCAGGCAAAGCTGGGAGAATCGCTTGAGGTGGGGAGTGTGAGAACAGCCTGGAAAACATAGCAAAATCTAATCTCTACTAAAAATAAAACAAAATTAGTTAGGCGTTGTGGGGTGCACCTATAGTCTCAGCTACTTAAGAGGTTGAGGCAAGGATTGCTTAAGAACAGGAGTTTGAGATCCTATGATACTCACTCCTGCAACACTGCTGTGGCCCATGAATTGGCTACATGACCAATGACACGGAAGGAACATGATTACAAAATTCCTGGCAAAAAAAAAAAATAGAAAAACTTTTGTGGATAAACTTCTCTCACTGGGTAAATTACATAAAGATATGTCTGTTCTATATGAATCCCTACTAAGGGGTAACCGTATCAGAGCATGATTTTGATAATGATGTGGACAGAATGTCTTGTTCCGTGAGTATGGGTCATTCTTACTTCCCTGTCACCCCCATCATCACCCAATGGGCTTATAAACAAGGTGAACATAGTAGCAGAAATAGAAGCAATGCACGGGCTAAGCAATATGAACTTTGAATCCCAAAGGCCAGTCTGGCTACAGTCAATTCTGAATGTTTAATTTGACAGCAGCACAGATCTACACTGAGTCTTTGATATGACATCATTTCCAGGGTGATCCACCAGGCACCTGGTAGTAAATTTATTACGTTGAATAACTTTTATAATATAGGCGGCAACAGTTTGTACTCACTGGAGTAGGCTCTTACTATGGATACAAATTTGCTTTCCCTGGGTGGAATTCTGCCAAAACTACCCTCCATGGACTCACAGAATCCCTCATCCATCCCTATGATATTCCACTTAGCATTGCTCAGACCAAGAAACTCACTTCACAGCCAAAGTGTAGCAGTGTGCTCATCTTCACGGATGTCAGTGGACTTACCATGCTTTCCATTATCTGGAAGCAACTGGATTAATAGAATGATAGGTTTGTCAGCATTTCCAGCCACCCTAACACCTATATCTCCCTGTGCACCCTAAGGGACTCCACAGAATGGTGAATTAGATACATATATCCAAAGGAACTACATACATTTGTGTTCCCCCATCCAAACCTCCAATCGTATGTAGTTTAATATTTAAAGTTGCTGAAGTTAGCTGTAGACAAAGGACAAAAATTAGAAGTGCAGAGGGAATGGGTTCCTTCATGTGGGTAAAGGAGAGACTTACAAAACCTGCTTAATGTGGCTTTTTGCAGTCTTTTTGCTGCTCACAGCTGAACCACATGAACTTCTACTGTTTTGGACTCATCCAAACCTCAACATTAGCTTTAAGAGCTCCTTGATTTTCCAGCAGGAGAAAAGTGAACATGCAAAGCTCTCAGGTTCATTGTTATAATCCTCTCAAGGATCAGTCTCATTAGCAGACAGCAGAGTCTTGATCTCTTGCTTCACCAAACTAACCACTTGGCCGAGAGAATTTGCTGTTGGTCCTGGGGGAACTTCTCATATCCCTTGCAAGCTCTTCAAGTATTTGTTCCTTTTCCCCTTTCAGAAAGTTGTGTTTATCTCAGCATGCCATAGTCATCTCCAAAATTAAATAATTGTGACGTATCTAAGATTTTATAGCATTTGTAAACAACATATTAACCTTCCATTTTCATCGATGCTGGTAGAAGGCATGAGACACTGAAGTATGAAAAAAAATACCTACTATTTACTGCTTACCTGGAGGCAAAAGCCTCATATTTGTATTAGTTCTCCTTGTCCATACTACGTTTTTTGAAGGATTTCAAAAGGCTCATATGGACATTGTACATGGGGAAGATTTGTGTCATAGCTGAGCAGACTCAAGACTAAGAAACCTCAATCTTTTTAAAGTAGGTTACATGGAAGCCTGTCCAACCTTTGCGTCACAAAGAAAAATTGTCTTTATTATATTGATTGAGTAATTTATCTGCCATTCACCTGAAGAGAAAAACTACTACCCTTTTTCCAGGTTATTTGTGTACAAAAATCTTTGAAAAATAACGTGGAACAGGACAGGTATGTGATGTAATCCACAACAAAACAACAAACTCTAAGAGACTTGTGGAGAACTACATCTCAGTAGCATGCATCTTTCCCATTAAATGTTGCACTAAGCAATCCTGTGATAAAAGACAATCCATTGAAGACTTTCGACATGAAGACTAACCTCGGTTGTTTTGTGTCGTGGGATTGTTCAAGTGATTCTCCAGTGTCAGCCTCCAAAGTAGCTGGGAATACAGTCTCCCAAGACCACGCTCAGCTTATTTTTGTATTTTTAGTAGAGGCGGGGTTTTACCATATTGGCCAGACAGGTCTCGAACTCCTGATCTCAGGTGGTCCGCCTGCCTTGGCCTCACAAAGTGCTAGGAATATAGGCATGAGCCTCCGTGCCCGGCCCCAGAAATGAAAGTTCTAGTGCGCAGTAATGTAATTCTGACAGATAAATGACAGGTGAGAGTAAGTGAAAAATCTAACACAATTTAACATTTTTACATATTTAGACATATTGAAATTGGTTAGCTTATTGGAAAAAGTTAAATGACTAGTAATATATACAGCATATTTATTCTGAATGAATTGCTAATCTAGATTTGAGACATGAAATAATTATTTTTACAACACAGAAACATAAACTGCATTTCCATATACAATTAACAATTTGACAGTAAATTAAGAAAACAATTGTTCGCAACAACATTAAAATAATATAATTCTTAGCAATAAATTTAATAAGGAGGTAAATATCTTGTACAATAAAAAATACAGGATCAGAATGTTTATGAAAAAAACTAAAAAGGACTTAAATAACTGGCAACAAATTCCATGTTCCTGAACCGGAAGATTTAATGAAGTTAAGATGACAATACCACTGCCCAAAGGAGTGTACAGATGTACTGTAATCCCAAGTTTTCATTTTTCCAACTTTTCTTCTGCAAAAAGAAAATAGCTCATTTAAAACTTCATATGGAATTTGAACATCCTCTGAATGTACAGAATAATCTTGAAAAGAAGGACAAAATTAGGTGGCTCACAATTTTAAATTTGAAAACATAAAAAGCTACTAAAATTATAACAGTTTGATAGTGGCATAAGAACAATTGTGGAGATCAAATAAATAAAATAGATACTCCAAAAAACCCTTTCATAAATTATTGTTTGTCTTTTTAAAAGTGTGTCTTAATCATTATGTAAAGACAGTTTGTTACACAAGAAATGCTGGGAAAACAAGTCCACATTTAAACCAGTAAAGTTGAATCTTTATCACATTCCAAGTAGAAAAATTAAATAAAAATTGATTAAAGATATAAAAACAAGTGTTAAACTTTAGTGGTTTCTAATAGTTGTTTTTATTTAACTGGGGACAGCACTAACATGAACAACTTTATACACACAAACTAGAAAACTTTAACGAAATAAATAGATTCCTAGATATACACACTCTCTCAAGATTAAGCCAGGAAGACAATGATTTCCTGAACAGACCAGTAAAAAACTCTGATATTAAATAGGTAATAAGTAGCTTGCCAATCAAAAAAAAAAGCTCTGGACTTTATGGACTTACAGCCAAATTCTACCAAATGTACAAAGAAGAGCTGGTACAATTCCTACAGAAACTATACCCAAAAATTGAGAAGGAGGGTCTTCTCCCCAACTCATTCTATGAGGACAGCATGATCTTGACACCAAAACAGGCAGAGACACAACAAAAACACAAAAAATTAGCCGGGCTTGGTAGCAGACACCTGTAGTCCCAGCTACTTGGGAGGCTGAAGCAGGAGAATGGCGTGAACTCAGGAGGCAGAGATTGCATTAAGCAGAGATCGCGCCAGTGCAATCCACTCCAGCCTGGGCAACAGAGGGAGACACCGTCAAAAAAAAAAAAAAAAAGAAAGAAGGGAAAGAAAACTTCAGGCCAACATTCTTGACGAACATCAATACAAAAGTTCTCAACAAAATATTTGGGAGGCAAATCCAGCAGCACATCAAACAGGTAATCCGTCATGATCAAGTAGGCTTCCTCCTTAGGACGCAAGGTTGGTCCATCATGTGCAAATCAATAAATGTAATACATTACATAAACAGAACTAAAAACAAAAAAAAGATGATTATCTCAATAGACGCAGAAAATAATAAAAGCCGTCTATAAGAAACCCACAGCCAACAATGTGTTGAATGGGCAAAAGCCGGGAACATTATTTTTTAAAACCAGTAGAAGGCAAGAATGCCCTCTCTTGCCATTTCTATTCAACTTAGTATTGACAGTACTGACCAGAGCAATCAGGCTAGAGAAAGAAATCCGAAGAACATCCAAATAGGAAGAGAGAAAGCCAAACTATTTCTGTTTGCAGATAACATAATTCTCTATCTAGAAAACCCTGTAGTTTCATCTACAAAGCTTCTTTAGTTAACAAACAGCTTCAGCAAAGTTTCAAGATACTAAATCAATGTGCAAAGATCACTAACATTTTTCTACACCAACGATAGCCACACTGACAGCAAAATCAGAAAGGCCATCCCATTCACAATTGCCACTAAAATAATAAAATATCTGGAAATGCAGCTCACCAGGGAGGTGAAAGAGCTCTACAATGAGATTTACAAAACACTGCTCAAAGAAATCAGAGAAGATACAAACAAATGGAAAACCATCCCATGCTCACGGATAGGAAGATGCAATATCACTAAAATGGCTATACTTCACAAAGAAATTTACAGATTTAATACTATTTCCATCAAACTGCCAATGAAATTTTTTACGGAGCTAGAAAAAACTATTTGAAAACTCATATAGGCCGGGGGCTGTGGCTCACACCTGTAATCCCAGCACTCTGGGAGGCCAAGGGGTGTGGATCATGAGGTCAGGAGATCCAGACCGTCCTGGTCAACATGGCAAAACTCCTTCTCTACTAAAAATACAAAAAATAGCTGGGAGTAATGGCAGCGCTTGTAATCCCAGCTACTTGGGAGGCTGAGGCAGGAGAATCCCTTGAACATGTATATAATATATACGTATGTTATACATATATTTATTATACTTTAAGTTCTAGGGTACATGTGCACAACGTGCAGGTTTGTTACTTATGTATACATGTGCCATGTTGGTGAGCTGCACCCATTAACTCGTCATTTACATTAGGTATATCTCCAAATGCTATCCCTCCCCCCTCCCCCCCCAACAACATTCCCCAGTGGGTAATGTTACCCTTCCTGTGTCCAAGTGTTCTCATTGTTCAATTCCCACCTATAAGCGAGAACATGTGGTGTTTGTTTTTTTTTGTCCTTGTGATAGTTTGCTGAGAATTATCTTTTCCAGCTTCATCCATGTACACACAAAGGACATGAACTCATCATTTTTTATGGCTGCATAGCATTCCATGGTGTATATGGGCCACATTTGCTTGATCCAGTCTATCATTGTTGGACATTTCGGTTGGTTCCAAGTATTTGCATTGTGAGTAGTGCCACAATAAACATACGTGTGCATGTGCCTTTATAGCAGCACCTAACATGACTTTTCTTATTTTCTTAGATTGTGAGTTTCTTTCAGACTAGGACTCTGCTGAGTCAGCTCTCTGTCCTCCCTGTACTCCTTATCACAGTGCTTGGCTATGACAGATGTTTAATAAATATTTGAGAAACACAGTAAATCCATATGAGTGACACAATGTTACGGAAAACTCTGGTCATTCAACAAATTCTATTCTCCCATTTATTAGGGACACAGCAGAATTACATTTCTTAGCCTCATTTGCATGAGATGTGGAAACGTGACCAGTTATTGTTAATGGTTGTAGAGTGAGATGGATGTGAGTCACATTAAGATGAGTCCATCAAGTCTTCTCGCATGCATTTCTTAAAGTACTTTATTTTCAGGGGACTGAACACAAACGGCAACCACGACTCATGGATGATGAAGACAAATAATGAAAGAACTTTGAGTTTCTGAATGACCACATGGAGAGGAGGTGCCTTTTCAATTTGGCCACCGAACAACTCTGTGATGTGTGCTAAAAAGTGCTGTTAATCTACTGCAAATTAGGGATGTGCTGGTATTTGACAGTTCAGCATAATCTAAAACATGCACTTAAAAACCTATTCACTGAATTAATTTAAAAGGCATTTTTATAGTACACTTAAGATGACAAACGTTAAGGTGGTCTTGCAATTTTTACCCTTCCATTTTGACCGTACTATGTTATATTAGAGAACTTGAGCCACATAAATGATCAGTTTTTATTGCGTCTATTTGATTCTTCTCTCTTTTCTTCTTTACTAGTCTTGCTAGCAGTCTATCAATTTTGTTGATCGTTTCAAAAACCAGCTCCTGAATTCACTGATTTTTTGAAGGGTTTTTTATGTTTCTATTTCTTTCAATTCTGCTCTGATCTTAGTTATTTCTTGCCTTCTGCTAGCTTTTGAATGTGTTTGCTCTTGCTTCTCTAGTTCTTTTAATTGTGATGATAGGGTGTCAATTTTAGATCTTCTCTGCTTTCTCTTGTGGGCCTTTAGTGCTATAAATTTCCCTCTACACGCTGCTTTGAATGTGTCCCATAGATTCTGGTATGTTGTGTCTTTGTTCTCGTTGCTTTCAAAGAACATCTTTATTTCTGCCTTCGTTTCGTTATGTACCCAGTAGTCATTCGGGAGCAGGTTGTTTGGTTTCCATGTAGTTGAGCGGTTTTGAGTGAGTTTCTTAATCCTGAGTTCTAGTTTTATTGCAGTGTGGTCTGAGAGAGAGGTTTTTATAATTTCTGTTCTTTTACAATTTGCTGAGGAGTGCTTTACTTCCAACTATGTGGTCAATTTTGGAATAAGTGCGGTGCGGTGCTGAGAAGAATGTATATTCTGTTGATTTGGGGTGGACAGTTCTGTAGATGTCTATTAGGTCTGCTTGGTGCAGAGCTGAGTTCAATTCCTGGATATCCTTGTTAACTATCTGTCTCATTGATATGTCTAATGTTGACAGTGGGGTGTTAAAATCTCCCATTACTATTGTGTGGGAGTCTAAGTCTCTTTCTAGGTCTCTAAGGACTTGCTTTATGAATCTGTGTGCTCCTATATTGGGTGCATATATATTCAGGATAATTAGCTCTTCTTATTGCATTGATCCCTTTATCATTACGTAATGGACTTCTTTGTCTCTTTTGATCTTTATTGTTTTAAAGTCTGTTTTATCAGACACTAGGATTGTAACCCCTGCCTTTTTCTGTTTTCCATTTGCTTGGTAGATCTTCCTCCATCCCTTTATTTTGAGCCTATGTGTGTCTCTGCACGTGAGATGCGTTTCCTGAATACAGAACACTGATGGGTCTTGACTCTTTATCCAATTTGCCAGTCTGTGTCTTTTAATGGGAGAATTTAGTCCATTTACTTTTAAGGTTAATATTGTTTTGTGTGCATTTGATCCTGTCATTATGATGTTAGCTGGTTATTTTGCTCGTTAGTTGATGCAGTTTCTTCCTAGCCTCGATGGTCTTTACAACTTGGCATGTTTTTGCAGTGGCTGGTACCGGTTGTTCCTTTCCATGTTTAGTGCTTCCTTCAGGAGCTCTTTTAGGGCAGGCCTGGTGGTGACAAAATCTCTCATCGTTTGCTTGTATGTAAAGGATTTTATTTCTCCTTCACTTATGAAGCTTAGTTTGAATGAATATGAAATTCTGGATTGAAAATTCTTTTCTTTAAGAATGTTGAATATTGTTCCCCACTCTTCTGGCTTGTAGAGTTTCTGCCGAGAGATCAGCTGTTAGTCTGATGGGCTTCCCTTTGTGGGTAACCCGACCTTTCTCTCTGGCTGCCCTTAACATTTTTTCCTTCATTTCAACTTTGGTGAATCTGACAATTATGTGTCTTGGAGTTGCTCTTCTTGAGGATTATCTTTTTGGTGTTCTCTGTATTTCCTGAATTTGAATGTCACCCTCCCTTGCTAGATTGGGGAAGTTCTCATGGATAATATCCTTCAGAGTGTTTTCCAACTTGTTTCCATTCTCCTCATAACTTTCAGGTACACCAATCAGATGTAGATTTGGTCTTTTCACACAGTCCCATATTTCTTGGAGGTTTTGTTCATTTCTTTTTATCTTTTTCTCTCTAAACTTCTTTTCTCACTTCATTTCATTCATTTGATCTTCCATCACTGACACCCTTTCTTCCAGTTCATCGAATTGGCTACTGAGGCTTGTGCATTCATCACGTACTTCTCGTACATTGGTTTTCAGCTCCATCAGGTCCTTTACGAACTTCTCTGCATTGGTTATTCTAGTTAGCTATTCATCTAATTTTTTTAAAGGTTTTTCACTTCTTTGCCATGGGTTTGAACTTCCTCCTTTAGCTCGGAGTAGTTTGATCGTCTGAAGCCTTCTTCTCTCAATTCGTCAAAGTCATTCTCTGTCCAGCTTTGTTCCATTGCTGGTGAGGAGCTGTGTTCCTTTGGAGGTGGAGAGATACTCTGATTTTTAGAATTTTCCGTTTTTCTGCTCTGTTTTTTCCCCATCTTTGTAGTTTTCTCTCCTTTGGTCTTTGATGATTGTGATGTACAGATGGGATTTTGTTGTGGATGTACTTTCTGTTTGTTAGTTTTCCTTCTAACAGTCAGAACCCTCAGCTGCAGGTCTGTTGGAGTTTGCTGGAGGTCCACTCCAGACCCTGTTTGCCTGGGTATCAGCAGTGGAGGCTGCAGAACAGCGGATATTGGTGAAAAGCAAATATTGCTGCCTGATTGTTCCTCTGGAAATTTTGTCTCAGAGGAGTACCCGGCCGTGTGAGGTGTCAGTCTGCCCCTACTGGGGATGCTTCCCAGATAGGCTACTCGGGGGTCAGGGACCCACTTGAGGAGGCAGTCTGTCTGTTCTCAGATCTCCAGTTGCATGCTGGGATAACCACTACTCTCTTCAAAGCTGTCAGACAGGGACATTTAAGTCTGCAGAGGATTCTGCTGCCATTTGTTTGGCTATTCCCTGCCCCCAGAGGTGGAGTCTACAGAGTCAGGCAGGCCTCCTTGAGATGCAGTTGGCTCCACCCAGTTGGAGCTTCCTGGCTGCTTTGTTTACCTACTCAAGCCACGGCAATGGTGGGCGCCCCTCCCCCAGGCTTGTTGTTGCCTTGCAGTTTGATCTCAGACTGCTGTGCTAGCAATGATTGTGGCTCTGTGGGCGTAGGACCCTCTGAGCCAGGTGCAGGATATAATCTCCTGGTATGCCGTTTGCTAAGACCTTTGGAACAGTACAGTGTTAGGGTGGGAGTCACCCGATTTTCCAGGTGCAATCTGTCACCCCTTTCTTTGACTAGGAAAGGGTATTCCCTGACCCCTTGCACTTCCTGGGTGAGGCGATGCCTCACCATGCTTTGGCTCACATGGGGTGCGCTGCACCCACTGTCCTGCACCCACTTTCTGACACTCCCCAGTGAGATGAGCCCGGTACCTCAGTTGGAAATGCAGAAATCACCTGTGTTCTGCATTGCCGATGCTGGGAGTTCTAGACTAAGGCTTTTCCTATTCGCCCATCTTGGCTCCACCCCCTCTCTAATTAAATTTTAATGTGAATAGTCTGAAATTATTTTTTCTATATCCTTCAGTTTTTTCATAATTCTTCTCTAACTTTTAGGTTCTATGTTTATGCCCCTTACATTTTCCAGAAATGTTTCTGAAGATTATTGCCCATTTTAAAGTTAAACTAATTTTTTATTTAGTTTTTTGTTTATTCTGTATTCTGCTTATCAATCGCTTGTCAGCTGTGTAGTTTGCACATATTTCCTCTCATTTTCTTTCTTTTTTTTTGAGACAGTCTTGCTCTGTCACCCATGCTGGAGTGCAGTGGCACGATCTCAGCTCACTGTAACCTCCACCTCCTGGGTTCAAGAGATTCCCTGGCCTCAGCCTCCTGAGCAATTGGGCTTTCAGGAACCACGCCCGGCTAATTTTTGTATTTTTAGTAGACACAGTGTTTCACCATGTCAGCCAGGCTGGTCTAGAACTCCTGACCTCAGGTGATCCACCAGCCTCAGCCTCCCAAAATACTGAGTTTATAGGTGTGAGCCATCGTCCCTGGCCAATAGAATATTATTTATACAATGGAGTATTAGCTAGCCATAAAAATAAATACAGAACTGATATGTGCCACAACATGGATAAATAATGAAAACACGCTCAAAGAGAAAAGCCAAAGAAAAAAGGTCACATATTATATTATTATATTTCTATAAAGTGACTAGAATAGAAAACTAGAAATAGAAGCCGGGTGTGATGGCTCACGCCTGTAATCCCAGCACTTTGGGTGGCCGAAGCAGGCAGATCACGACGTCAGGAGATCGAGACCATGCTGGCTAACATGGTGAAACCCTGTCTCTACTAAAAATACAAAGAAAAATAGCTGGGCGTGCTGACAGGCATCTGTAGTCCCAGCTACCCTGGAGGCTGAGGCAGGAGAATGGCGTGAACCAGGGAGGTGGAGCTTGCAGCGAGCCGAGATCGTGCCACTGCACTCTAGCATGGGTGACAGAGTGAGACACCAAAAAAAAAAAAAAAAAAGGAAAGAAAGAAAGAGAGTACTAGAGATAGAAAGTCAATCAGTGGTTACCAAGGAAATTCGGTGGATGAATGATAAATTACTGCTTAATGGATATGGAGTTTTTTTGGTGAGAGGGTGATGAAACTATTTTGGAATTTGATAAGGGTGACAGTTGCATAGCATTGTAAATAAACTGAAAAGCACTGAATTTTACACTTTATATTAGATAGTATGTAGAACTCTATATTGTGTAAATTTTAGCTGACTAAAACATTTTAACAAGCAAAGAAAAATAAACTGTAGGCTTTGTGTGGTGGCTCACACCTATAATCTCAGTTTTTTTCAGAGGCTGATACAAGCAGATCACGAGGTGAAGAGATCGAGACCATCCTGGACAACATGGCGAAACCCCGTCTCTACTAATAATACAAAAATTAGCCAGGCTTGGTGGCACGCCCTTATATTCCCAGCTACTCAGGAGGCTGAGGCAGGAGAATCACTTGAACCTGGGAGGTGGAGGTTGCAGTGAATCACTTGAACCCGGGAGGTGGAGGTTGCAGTGAGCCGAGATCATGCCACTCCACTCCAGTCCCGTGAAAGAGCGAGAAGAGAGAGACTCTGATAAAGAAAGAAAGAAAGAAAGAAAGAAAGAAAGAAAGAAGAAAGAAAGAAAGAAGAAAGAAAAAAGAAAATAAGGAAAGAAAGAAAAGAAAGGGAGGGAGGAAGGAAGGAGAAAGAAAGAGAAAGAAAGAAAGAAAGAAAGAAAAGGAAGGAAGGAATGAAGGAAGAGGAAAGAAAGAAAGAAGAAAGAAAGAAACGGAAGGAAGGAATGAAGGAAGAACAAAAGAAAGAGAAAGAAGAAAGAAAGGAAGAAAGAAAAGAAACGAAGGAGAAAGAAAGAAAGAGAAAGAAAAAGAAGGAAAGAAAGAAAGAAGAAAGAAAGAAAAAGAAAGAAGAAAGAAAGAAAGAAGAAAGAAAGAAAGAAAGAAAGAAAGAAAGAAAGACAGAAAAAAGAAATACTATGAAACAGGAGGGCAAATGAGGGAGCCCTGGAAAACGATTCTGTCTCCACTTTCAAAAAAGATCGCCCCCTCCAAAAAAAAGATCCCCAAAGCTCTGACCGAGAAGGTCTTCTCCTTGGATCCCAGAGCAGTGGTCTGAGGATCTGTCACATTCTACACCAGCCTGAGTGCTCAGTCCCGCACACCCCTAGGCCACTTTCTGCTCTGAAAGACCTTCGGAGGACACAGAGCAATTTCCAAAGTTCTGAGAGTACAGTGGTAATTGATAGACAGCAAGGTCAACTCACTTCTTTAAGCCTTTCAAATTTAGGGGTCACACAGTTCAATTATGTCAATTTGTACAGGGAAAAATTGAAGGTTTTCACTACTGTATTCCTCTCCATATTGGGTGTAGGGGGATTCCTTACCATTTTAATTATGCAGATTAATGAATGGAGAAAGTAAGGTTTTGTCCTTGGAAAGCTATCCTGGTGTTGGCTGCAGCCCAGTCAGATCCATGGAAGCCTTGAGCCTCTCAAGCCATCAGCCTATTGCCTTCCCCTGCCCATGTTATGGGTCCTGGGCATGTTACCAGAAGATGGGGTGCTTCTACCCCATGACAAAGCTGCCCCTATCCTCTATCTTTTTTCTTCTCATCACTCCATCAGCGTTAACTCCTCTTATGACCTTTAGCCTGAGAAGTCTGTGTGTGTATGCACAAACCTGTGGAATTCTATGATGCAGACATGAGTTTGCTTCATATGACGAGAAAATTGGCAAAAATCCCCAGGATCTCAGGGACTCATTCCCAAAACAAACCCCATGAGAGTGTTGAGCCCTGGCCTAGGAGGTCAGAATGCTCTTTTTTCCCTTGGACTCTGCCCACTTCATCATCTCTGGGCCAGTCCCTGCTTCTCTCCAGACCTCAGTTTTTCAGATATCCAATGAGATGTGAGATGTCAAAATGCTTAAGCCACAGCTCAACATGCATATGGTCTAACGTCCCTACCAACTAGGATTGGTGTAGCAAGGCTGTGATCAGGGTGTTCCCAGATCTTCCTCACTTGGGAAGAAATAGATGGGTTCTGCACTGGGCACATGGACCTTCTGTTCAAGAAGGGTCATACACACTTGATCTTTCAAGGCCCACAGACAATGTGTGCAAGTGAGCCCCACCTCCACCCCCAAACAGCTTCCATGGAGCATAACAATATGTCCCCTGTCCTCTGAGTCTGGAAAGTAGTGACATCCTCACTTAACACATGGATTGATGGACCCTTTGTATAATTAAATCTTCCCCACTACTGCCTCCACCACTATGCAGATAGAAAAAAGTCTTAGGAAAGTGACATAACATCCAGAATTACACAGAGATTCCATGGCAAAGCTAGCACTTTAGTTAGGATTACATTTTCCTACATATAGAAGAAAACCCAGACCGGGTGCTGTAGTTCACGCCTGTTATCCCAACACATTGGGAGGTTGAGGCAGACGGATCACCAGAGGTCTGGAGTTTAAGACCAGCCTGACCAACATAGAGAAACCCAGTCTCTACCAAAAATACAAAATTTTCCAGGCGTAGTGGTGCATGCCTGTAATCCCTGCTTCTTGAGAGGCTGAGGCAGGAGAATCGCTTGAACCCGGGAGGTAGAGATTGTGGTGAACCGAGATCGCGCCATTGCACTCCAGTCTGGGCAATAAGAGTGAAACTCCGTCTCAAAAAAATTAAAAAAGAAAACCCAATATAATAGTGCAGATAAGAGAGAGAATGCTTTCTTTCTCATAAATAAGGATGTTAGAGCTGGGCAGTCTGACTCTGAACTGTACACGAAGGTAGTCAAAAATAGTCTGTCATTTTGCTAAAATGTTTTTCTTTTTTGAACTTTGTTTTAAGTTCAGGGGTATATGGGCAGGATGTGCAGGTTCTTTAAATATGGAAACATACCGTCCCGAAGTTTGGTTGTGCAGATTGTTTTATCACCCAGGTATTAAGTCTACTAACTATTAGTTATTTTTTCTGATTCTCTCCCTCCTCTCACCCCCTACCTCCTGATAGGCCCTGGTGCGTGTTGCTCCCCTCCATGTTTCTGTGTGTTCTCATCATCTACCCTCCACTTATAAGTGAGAAAATGTGGTATTTGGTTTTCTGTTTCTGTTAGTTTTTTAAGGATAATGGCCTCCAGCTCCATCCATGTCCCTACAAAGGACATAATCTTGTGCTTTTTTATGGCTGCATAGTACTCCATGTTGTATATGAACTACGTTTTCTTCAACCAGTCTATTATTGATGAACATGTAGGCTGATTTGATGTCTTTGCTATTGTGAATAGGGCTGTGATGAACTTGTGCGTGCAGGTATCTTTATAATAGAATGACTTATATTTGTTTGGGTATATACCCAGTAATGAGATTGCTAGGTCAAATGGTATTCTTTTCTTTAGGTCTTTGAAGAATCACCACACTGTCTTCCACAACGTTTGAACTCGACCAACAGGGTAAAAATGTTGCTTTTTCTCCACAACTTTGTCAGCATCTGTGATTTTTTGATTTTTTCATGGTAACCATTATACCTGGTATAAAATGATATCTCATTGTGGTTTGGATTTACATTTCTCTAATGGTCACTGATGTTGAACTTCTGTTTCATACGCTTATTGGCTGCATGTATGTCTTCTTTCAAGAAGTGTTTCTGTGTGTCCTTTGGCCAATTTTTAATAAGGTTGTTTGTTTTTCTCGTGTAAATTTATGTTCCTTATGGATGCTAGAAATTAGATTATTGTCAGATGCACAGTTTGCAAAAATTTTCTCCCATTCTATACATTGTCTGTTTACTCTGTTGATAGTTTCTTTTGCTGTGCAAAAGCTCTTTAGTTTAATTAGATCCCATTTGTCAATGTTCTCTTTGTTCTAATTGCTTTTGCGCCTTCATCATAAAATATTTGCCCATGCCTATGTCCTGAATGGTATTGCCTAGGTTGTCTTCCAAAGTTTTTATAGTCTTGGGTTTTACATTTAAACCATGTTGAGTTTATTGTTGTATATGATGTAAGGAATCTTTCTTTATTTTTTAAATTTAAATTGGGTTCTGAAGTACAAGTGCAGAATGTGTAGGTTTGTTACATTGGTATATGTGTGCCATGGTGGTTTACTGCACCTATCAGCCCGTTATCCAGGCTTCAAGTCCCACATGTATTAGCTAGTTATCCTAATGCTCTCCCTCCCTTCGACTCCCATTCCCTGACTAGCCCCAGTTGTGTTGTTTCCCTTCCAGTGTCCATGTGTTCTTATTGTTCAACTCCCACTTATGAGTGAGAATATGCGGTGGTTAGTTTTCTGTTCCTGTGTTAGTTGCAGAGGATGATGGAGGAAGGGGTTCAGTTTCAATTTTTTGCACATGGCTAGGCAGTTATCCCAGCACCATTTATTGAGTACAGAGTCGTTTTTTCATTGCTTGTTTTTGTCAGGTTTGTCGAAGATCAGTTAGTTGTAGGTGTGCAGTCTTATTTCTGGGTCCTCTATTCTGTTTCATTGGTCTGTGTGTCTGTTCTTGTACCAGTACCATGCTGTTTTGGTTTCTGTAGCCCTGTAGCACAGTTTGAAGTTGGGTAGTGTGATGCCTCCAGCTTAGTTCTTTTTGTTTGGGGTTGTCTTGACTATTCAGGCCTTTGTTGGTTCCATATAAATTTTAAAATAGCTTTTCTAGTTTTGTGAAAAATGTCATTGGTAGTTTAACGGAAATACTATTAACTCTATAAATTTCTTTGTGGAGTGTGTCTACTTTAACAATATTAACTCTTTCTATCCATAAGCATGAAATGTTTTTCTATTTGTTTATGTCATGTCTGATTTCTTTGAGAAGTGGTTTATAGTTCTCCTTGTAGTGGCCTTTCACTTCTCTTGTTAGATACATTCCTTGGTATTTTATTCTTTTTGTGGTAACTGTGAATGAGTGTTCATTCACGATTTTGCTCTTGGCTTGACTGTTGTTGGTATATAAGGATTTAGTGCTAGTGATTTTGGCCCATTTATTTTGTATCTTGGGACTTTGTTAAAGATATTTATCAGCTTAAGAAGCTTTGGGGTTGAGACAATAGGGGTTTTCAAGATATAGAATCATGTCGTCTGACATCAGGTGTTGTTTAATTTCTTTTCTTTCAATTTGAATGCCTTTTTCTCTTACCTGATTGCTCTGCCCAGTACTTCCAATACTATCTGAAATAGGATTCATGAGAGAGGGCATCCTTGTCTTGTGCCCGTTTTAAAAGGGAATGCTTTCAGCTTTTGCCCTTTCAGTATGATATTGGCTGTGGGTTTGTCATACATGGTTCTTATTATATTGAAGTATGTTTTTTTCAATACCTAGTTTATTGAGAGTTTTTACAAGAATGGATGTTGAATTTTATGGATGCAAAGATTTATCTGCATCTATTCAGACAATCATGTGGCTTTTGTCTTTAGTTCTGTTTATGTGATAAATCACATATTGATTTGTGTACGTTGAATTAAAGTTGCATCCCACAGATGGAGCCTACTTGATTGTGGTGGATAAGCTTTCTGATGCGCTGCTGGATTTGGTTTGCCCCTATTTTGTTAAGAATGTTTGCATAAATGTTCATCAAAAATATTGGCATGAAGTTTTTTTTTTTCTTTTTTTATTTTATTATTATTATACTTTAAGTTTTAGGGTACATGTGCACAATGTGCAGGTTAGTTACATATGTACGCATGCACCATGCTTGTGTGCTGCACCCATTAACTCGACATTTAGCATTAGGTATATCTCCCAATGCTATCCTTCTCCCCTCCCCCCTCATCACAACAGTCCCCAGAGTGTGATGTTCCCCTTCCTGTGTCCATGTGATCTCATTGTTCAATTCCCACCTATGAGTGAGAACATGCGGTGTTTGGTTTTTTTGTTCTTGTGATAGTTTACTGAGAATGATGATTTCCAATTTAATCCGTGTCCCTACAAAGGACATGAACTCATCATTTTTTATGGCTGCATAGTATTCCATGGTGTATATGTGCCACATTTTCTTAATCCAGTCTATCATTGTTGGACATTTGGGTTGGTTCCAAGTCTTTGCTATTGTGAATAGTGCCGCAATAAACAAACGTGTGCCTGTGTCTTTAAAGCAGCATGATTTATAGTCCTTTGTGTATATACCCAGAAATGGGATGGCTGGGTCAAATGGTATTTCTAGTTCTAGATCCCTGACGAATTGCCACACTGACTTCCACAATGGTTGAACTAGTTTACAGTCCCACCAACAGTGTAAAAGTGTTCCTATTTCTCCACATCTCCTCCAGCACCTGTTGTTTCCTGACTTTTTAATGATTGCCATTCTAACTGGTGTGAGATGGTATCTCATTGTGGTTTTGATTTGCATTTCTCTGATGGCCAGTGATGGTGAGCATTTTTTCATGTGTTTTTTGGGTGCATAAATGTCTTCTTTTGAGAAGCGTCTGTTCATGTCCTTCGCCCACTTTTTGATGGGGTTGTTTTCTTCTTGCAAATTTTTTGAAGTTTTGTTTTTTTTCTTGTGTGTCTGCCAGGTTTTGGTACCAGGATGATGTGCTCTCATAGAAAGAGTCGGGAAGGAAGCCCTCTGTTTCAGTTTTTTGAAATAATTTTAGTGGGAATTGTACCAGTTCTTCTTCATAAATGTCATAACCTTCAGCTTTTAATCTTTGTGTTTCTGATCTTTTTGTGGTTTGTAGGCTATTTATTACTGCCTGAATTTCAGAGCCTGTTGTTTGTCTTTTCAGGGATTCAATTTCTTCCTGGTTTATTCTTGAAGGGTGTATGTGTCCAGAAATTTATCCATTTCTACTGAATTTGTTATCTTATAGGCATAGAGGTGTTTATGATATTTTCTGATGGTTATTTTTATTTCTGTGGGGTCAGTGGTAACCCTTATTATTTCTGATTGTGTTCATTTTAATTTTTGATATTTTCTTCCTTATTAGTCTACTACTGGTGTATTTATATTATTGGTTTTTTCAAAGAAAAAGAAACAGCTCCTGAATTTGTTGATCTGTTGAATGGTTTCTCTTGTCCCTATCTCCATCAGTTCAGGTCTGATTTTGGTTATTTCTTGTCTTCTGCTAGCTCTAGAACTTCTTTGCTCTTGTTCCTGTAGTTATTTTTGTTGTGAAGTTGTAACTTGAGACATTTCTGGCATTTTAATGTGGGCATTTAATGCCATAAATTTTCATCTTAATACTGCCTTAGCTGTGTCCCAGAGATTCTGGTATGTTTTGTCTTTGTTCTCATTGGTTTCAAAGAACTCCTTGATATCTGCCTTAATTTCATTATTTACCCAAAAGTTATTCAGGAGCAGGTGATTCAATTTCCATTTAATTTTATGGTTTTCAGTAAATTATTTCATCGTGAGTTTTAATTTGATTGTGCTGTGATCTGAGCCACTGTTTATTATGATTTCAGTTCTTTTGCATTTGCTGAAGAGTGTTTTACTTCTGGCTAAGTGACCAATTTCAGAGAAAGTGTCATGTAGTGATGAGAAGAATGTATATTCTGCTGTTTTCATGTGGAGAGTTCTGTAAATATATATCATGTCCATTTGATCCAGAGCTAAGTTCAGGTCCTGAACATCTTTGTTAATTTTCTGTCTCAATAATCTTTCTAATACTGTCAGTGGGATGTTAAAGTCGGTCACTATTATTGTGTGGTGTTCTAAGTCTCTTTCAAGATATCTAGAAACTTGTTATATGAATCTGGGTACTCTTGTGTTGGGTGCATATATATTTAGAATAGTTAATTCTTGTTGAATTGAATTATTTGCCGTTATGTAATGACCCTCTTTGTTGTTGTTGTTGTTGTTGTTTTTAATCTGTGTTGCTTTAAAGTCTGTTTTGTTGGAAAGTAAGACTGCAACCCTTGCTTTTTTAGGTTTTCCACTTGCTTGGTGAAATTTCCTCCATCCCTTTATTTTTAGCCTATGTGTGTCCCCGCATGTGAGATGGGTGTCTTGAAGAGCATACCAATGGGTCTTGGTTTTTATACAATTGCCACCCTGTGTGTTTCAACTGGGGCATTTATCCCATTTACATTTAAGGTAAGTATTGTTATGCGTAGATTTTATCTTGTTATCTTGATGCTAGCTGGTTATTTTTATTTTTCAGACTTGTTTATGTGGTTGATTTATAGTGTCAATGGTCTGTGTACTTGAGTGTGTTTTTGTGGTGGCTGGGAATAATTTTCCCTTTCCAAATTGGTGCTTCCTTCAGGAGCTCTTGAAAAGCATGTCTGGTGTTCATGAATTAACTCGGAATTTGCTTGTCTGAAAGGGATGTTATTTCTCCCCAGATTAAGCTTAGTTTGGCCAGATATAAAATTCTGGCTTAAAGTTTATTTTCTTTAAGAACGTTAAATATTGGCCCCCAATCTCTTTTGGCTTGTAGGGTTCTCACTGACAGCTCTGCTCTTAGTCTGATCAACTTCTTTTTGTAGGTGACTTGGCTTTTCTCTGCGGCTGAGCTTTTTTTTCTTTTTTTTTCTTCCATTTCAAGTTTGGGGAATCTGACGTTTATGTGTCTTGGGTATGATTTTTTCTTGGAGTATCTTACTGAACTTCTCTCCATTTTCTGAATTGTTGGCCAGTGTAGCAAGGTTGGGGAAGTTCTCATTGATGATATCCTGAAATATGTTTTCCTGATTGGTTCCATTCTCCCCAGCTCTTTCAAGTACACCAATCAGTTGTAGATTTGGTCTCTTTACATAATCCCATATTTCTCAAAGGTTTTGTTTATTCCTTTCATTCTTTTTTTCTATTCTTCTCTGCATGTCTTCTTTCAGAAATACAAACTTCAAGCTCTGAGTTTCTTTCCTCATTAATACTTGTGATTGCATTATGAAATTTTTGTATTGTGTTTTACAGTGCTATCGGGTTGGTTAGGCTCCTCTCTATCCTGGCTAATTTGTTTGTCAGCTCCTGCAATATTATATTGTAATTTTTAGCTTTCTTGTATTGAGTTAGAGCATGCTCCTTTAGATCAGTGAAGTTCATTTTTATCCACATTCTGGGGTCTACTTCTGTTATTTCAGGGATCACAGCCTCACCCTTATTCTGAACTCTTGCTGGAGAAGTAGTGTGGTCATTTGGGAGAGGGAGAGCACCCTGATTTTTGAGTTTTTAGTATTCTTGTTGTGATTCTCACCTTTGTGTGCCTATCTATCTTTAATCTTTGAGGTTGCTGGCCTTTGAATGAGATTTTTGTTTGTTTCTCTTCCTTTTAACTGTTTGGCCATTTTGTGTGGGGCTGCTGTAGTTTGTTGGGCATCTGCTCCACTCTCTTGTCACCTCGGATTTTCCAGTATCTGGGGGTATCACCAGTGAAGGCTGTGAAACAAGAAAGATAGCAGCCCACTCCCTTCCCTGGGAGCTCCATCCCAGGGCGGGTGCAGACATGTTGAGGGCTCGAACACACCTGTAGGAGGTGACTGGAAACCCCAGTTGGTAGGTCTCACCCAGCTAGGAGGAATAGGATTGGGGACCCACTTAAGCCATCTAGCCCCACTTTCATAGATCAGCCATGCTGTGCGGGGTACCATTTCTGCCCTTCATCAGATTGGGCTCTCCAAAGCCTGGAGGCTGAAACAGCAAAGTGGCTGAAACAGCAAAGATGGTGGCCAACCCCTCTCTCTAGGAACTCTGGCCCAGGAAGTTTTTAAACCTCTGCCAGCCAGACAACATCAGTGGGAGTTGCTGGAGGCCCTGGTTGGGAAGTTCCACCCAGAGATGCAGAGCATATTAGGTCCCACTTAAAGAAGCAATCTGATCACATTATGGCAGATCCACTGTGCTATGCTGGGGGATTCCTTCTTCCCTGGGATGGTTTGGACTCTCCTAAGCCCACTGATTGTTATGGCTGAGTTCTCCAAACAACAAATATGAAGACCCACTGCTCCCAATGTGCACTGCATCCAGGAATAAATCAAAACTCTGCCTGCCGGAGAATATGGAAGGGGCTGTCTGGAGGCTCTGGTAGGAGGCCCCACTCTGAGATGAAAAAGGTATCTGGGTCCCACTTCAAGAAGTAGTCCGGCCAAACTTTGGGAGGGCCAATGTGCCGTGCTAAGGGATTTCTTCCATCTGCCATGAGTTTTTTTTTTTTTTAACTCTCCTAAACCTCCAGGCTGGAATGGCTGAGTCATCCAAACAGCAAATATAGCAGCCAGCCCCTGCCTCCAGGAACGTTGTTCCATCCCAGGTAATTGCAATGCTGTTGCTGGGGGCTGGATGGAATTCCAAGCCAGTTGATCTTATCCTGTGAGGCGTCATGGAAGTGGGGCCCACTGATGCTGCTCAGGCCCATGGATTCAGCTTCCTTTCTAGGGGCATTTACGGAGATCCAACCTCCCACCTTGTCTGAGTTGCAGTCACCTTTGCCAGAGATCTCAGAGCCAAAATATGTAAAGCTCCTGCGATTCTGTTTGTGTCTGAGCAGTTGTTCTGCCGGGAACACGCAGCTCTGTGTATCAGACCAAAGGCCCTGGTGGAATAAGTTTACGAGAAAATCTCCTGATCCGAGAGTTGCAAAGATCCATGGGAGAAGTGTGGTTTCTCAGGGTCACGTATTTGCTCACCACTTCCTTGGGCAGGGTAGGTTCCCTTTGGTCTGTGTTACTCCCGGGTGGGCGGTTGCCATGCCCTTCTTTTTCCCATGGGTTGAGCTGTTTCCTTCATTAGTCCCACTGCAAATATCTGGGTGTTTCAGTTGATGGTGCTGTATTTATTTTCCCTCTTTGTTTCTTTTCATGAAAGCCACACACCATAGCTACTTCTAGTCAACCCTCTTGGCACACTTTGCTACAATATTTCAGTAGATGGTTTTTATCCTGTAGGCTGTCTCATGGTCCCATATGGCTGGCTGTAGGAGCACAAGCCTGCACCAGCAACCATGTCCATTTCAAAGGCTAAGAAGTAGGAAAGATGCAAGGTCAAAGTGGCTTGCACAGCTGCATCAGCTCCATCTGAGGAATCTCCCTGAAGTCCCATCAATACTTATGGTTACAACCAATTGTCTTGAATAGGGGTCAGAAACTATAACCTTTGTGTTTGTAAGTTGCTGTTTGAATAAAACTAAATTTCTAATTTTGTGTTTTGTTTTGTTTTGTTTTGTTTTGTTTTGTTTTGTTTGATGGAGTCTCACTCTGTCACCAGGCTGGAGTGCAGTGGTGTGATTTTGGCTCACTGAAACCTCTGACTCTTGGGTTCAAGTGATTCTCCTGCCTCAGCCTTTCAAGTAGCTGGGATTACAGGTGTGCTTGCATCACCATGCCCAAAATGCTGGGATTACAGGCATGAACAACCACACCCAGCCCTGACTCTCTGTTTTTAAGAGTGAAAGCAAAATTAAAACTGTGGCGATGACAAGTGCTCTTTTTCTACACTAAATTCAAAGGTAAACAGAAGAAGATGGAGGTTTTCTCAGGTGAAGTGGGCACTCATTTTTCAAACAAAGCCTTTTTTGGTGATTATTTATTTTCAGATCAGATGGGAAAAAAATCTGGGTTCTTGTAAGCACTCCCTTTATGACCAAATGTTAGTCAAGCTTAACTGAACCCTCTTTTTGACTAAGCCAACCTTGACTTCTTGCCCTGCTCCTGGTTTGAGAGGCTCACTTTCATAAATCCTGCTAATACTGTTTAGTAAAAATCCACATATCCCTTATGTCTACTAATATCGTGATTCCCTTTCTTTGATATTTAAGTCCTTAGCCAACCTGTAACCAGCCTTCTGCTATAAAAAGTTCCTCTTCCTCCTTTGGTATTTTATCAAATGTTTTTCAATAATTTTTATCCACTGATTTATTCTGCTTATTGACTATAAATTCTTCGTTGTCTGTGTTCAGAGTTATGATCAATTTCTGAACTGAACCCTATTACGATGGCCATAAAATCTACTACAATAGTATTAATGTCTTTCTTCCCAATTTTTAACAAACATCAGAAATTTTTATTTCACAGTTTCCCAACAGTATGTTTGAGTATAAAAACAGTTTTCAGTTTGCCCCCAAAAATGATGTGATCCACTGTGTAGATGTGTATGCCTGATCCTTGTGTCCAAAAAAGTATGTTTTTATTTAAATGGGGTGAGGGTGACAGATTATAGAGCCAATGTTTTCCTAAAATGCTGAGTCATAAGTGAAACCATACAAATCAAGAATATAGAATGCTTGGACTCCAACGTTTTTAACCCTGAGGATATTTTGATGTCCATAATTTATATTACTGTGAAAATAATGCACAAGAAAGAAAACTGATAGCTCTCCCTCTCCCTCTCCCTCTCCCTCACCCTCTCCATCTCCCCACGGTCTCTCTCTCCCTCTCTTTCCACGGTCTCCCTCTGATGCCGAGCCGAAGCTGGATGGTACTGCTGCCATCTCGGCTCACTGCAACCTCCCTGCCTGATTCTCCTGCCTCAGCCTGCCGAGTGCCTGCGATTGCAGGCGCGCGCCGCCACGCCTGACTGGTTTTCGTATTTTTTTGGTGGAGACGGGGTTTCGCTGTGTTGGCCGGGCTGAGCTCCTAACCGCGAGTGATCCGCCAGCCTCGGCCTCCCGAGATGCCGGGATTGCAGACGGAGACTCGTTCACTCAGTGCTCAATGGTGCCCAGGCTGGAGTGCAGTGGCGTGATCTTGGCTCGCTACAACCTCCACCTCCCAGCAGCCTGCCTTGGCCTCCCAAAGTGCCGAGATTGCAGCCTCTGCCCGGCCGCCACCCCGTCTGGGAAGTGAGGAGCGTCTCCACCTGGCCGCCCATCGTCTGGGATGTGAGGAGCCCCTCTGCCTGGCTGCCCAGTCTGGAAAGTGAGGAGCGTCTCTGCCCGGCCGCCATCCCATCTAGGAAGTGACGAGCGCCTCTTCCCGGCCGCCATCACATCTGGGAAGTGAGGAGCGTCTCTGCCCGGCCGCCCATCATCTGAGATGTGGGGAGCACCTCTGCCCTGCCGCCCCGTCCGGGATGTGAGGAATGTCTCTGCCCGGCCGCCCCGTCTGAGAAGTGAGGAGACCCTCTGCCTGGCAACCACCCCGTCTGAGAAGTGAGGAGCCCCTCCGCCCGGCAGTCACCCCGTCTCGGAAGTGAGGAGCGTCTCCGCCCGGCAGCCACCTCGTTCGGGAGTGAGGTGGGGGGGTCAGCCCCCCGCCTGGCCAGCCACCCCATCCGGAAGGGAGGTGGGGGGTCAGCCGCCCGCCCGGCCAGCCGCCTCCTCCGGGAGGGAGGTGGGTGGGTTAGCCCCCCACCCGGCCAGCCGCCCCATCCGGGAAGTGAGGGGTGCCTCTGCCTGGCAGCCCCTGATGGGAAGTGAGGAGCCTCTCTGCCCGGCCAGCCGCCCCGTCTGGGAGGGAGGTGGGGGGTCAGCCCCCCGCCCGGCCAGCCACCCCTTCTGGGGGGGAGAGAGGTGGGCGGGTCAGCCCCCCGCCCGGCCAGCCGCCCCGTCCGGGAGGTGAGGGGTGCCTCTGCCCGGCCACCCCTACTGGGAACTGAGGAGCCCCTCTGCCCGGCCAGCCACCCCATCCGGGAGGGAAGTGGGGGGGTCAGCCCCCCGCCCAGTCAGCCGCCCCGTCCGGGAGGGAGGTGGGGGGTCAGCCCCCCGCCCGGCCAGCCGCCCCATCCGGGAGGGAGGTGAGGGGGTCAGCCCCTCGCCCGGCCAGCCGCCCTGTCCAGGAGGGAGGTGGGGGGGTCAGCCCCCAGCCTGGCCAGCCGCCCCGTCCGGGAGGTGAAGGGCGCCTCTGCCCAGCCACCCCTACTGGGAAGTGAGGAGCCCCTCTGCCCTGCCACCACCCCGTCTGGGAGGTGTACCCAACAGCTCATTGAGAATGGGCCATGATGACAATGGCGGTTTTGTGGAATAGAAAGGGGGGAAAGGTGGGGAAAAGATTGAGAAATCGGATGGTTGCCGTGTCTGTGTAGAAAGAGGTAGACATGGGAGACTTTTCATTTTGTTCTGTACTAAGAAAAATTCTTCTGCCTTGGGATCCTGTTGATCTGTGACCTTACCCCCAACCCTGTGCTCTCTGAAACATGGGCTGTATCCACTCAGGGTTGAATGGATTAAGGGCGGTGCAAGATGTGCTTTGTTAAACAGATGCTTGAAGGCAGCATGCTCCTTAAGAGTCATCACCACTCCCTAATCTCAAGTACCCAGGGACACAAACACTGCGGAAGGCCACAGGGTCCTCTGCCTAGGAAAACCAGAGACCTTTGTTCACTTGTTTATCTGCTGACCTTCCCTCCACTATTGTCCTGTGACCCTGCCAAATCCCCCTCTGCGAGAAACACCCAAGAATGATCAATAAAAAAAAAAAAAGAAAACTGATAATGCTTAAAATTAAACATGGTGCAACGTATCACTGACTAAAAACTGATATAAGAAAACATTATTCCAAAAAACATTTGGGTATCCACCACTTAACCCAGGAAAGTAGACCGTGTAGAAATAATGGTCCCTACAGACAATTTGTAGAAGCAGAATCTATAAATTATGATGTGAAAAATTCAGGTAATTTTTGTTTAAATATAGTGATCCTGATAAAAATTCAATTGAATTAAAAATTAGAGAAGATTAACTTGAATTAGTTATGTTTTTATAAAATATAAATTATGAAGTTAAAACGTAATATATAAGTATGCTCTGGAAAACACATTCTCAAATGAATAAAATTTCTTTTTATTGGATTAGTTGAATGTTTGATGTTATCTGTTTATTAAACCCAAGGGGATATCACCACCGATCCCACAGAAATACAAACTACCATCAGAGAATACTATAAACACCTCTATGCAAATAAACTAGAAAATCTAGAAGAAATGGATAAATTCCTCGACACATACACCCACCCAAGACTAAACCAGGAAGAATTTGAATCTCTGAATAGACCAATAACAGGCTCTGAAATTGAGGCAATAATTAATAATTAGCTTTCCAACCAGAAAAAGTCCAGGACCAGATGGATTCACAGCCAAAATCTACCAGAGGTACAAGGAGGAGCTGGTACCATTCCTTCTGAAACTATTCCAATCAATGGAAAAAGAGGGAACCTCCCTAACTCATTTTATGAGGACAGCATCATCCTGATACCAAAGCCTGGCAGAGACACAACAAAAAAAGAGAATTTTAGACCAATATCTCCGATGAAGATCTATGCAAAAATCCTCAATAAAATACTGGCAAACCGAATCCAGCAGCATATCAAAAAGCTTATCCACCATGATCAAGTGGGCTTCATCTCTGGGATGCAAGGCTGGTTCAACATACACAAATCAACAAACGTAATCCACCTTATAAACAGAACCAATGACAAAAAAACCATGTGATTATCTTGAGATATCAAGAGATGCAGAAAAGGCCTTTGACAAAATTCAACAACTCTTCCTGCAAAAAACTCTCAATAAATTAGGAATTGATGAGACGTATCTCAAAGTAATAGGAGCTATCTCTGACAAAGCCATAGCCAATATCATACTAAATGGGCAAAAGCTGGAAGCATTCCCTTTGAAAACAGGCACAAGACAGGGATGCCCTCTCTCACCACTCCTATTCAACATAATGCTGGAAATTCTGGCCAGGGCAATCAGGAAGGAGAAGGAAATAAAGGGTATTCAATTAGGAAAAGAGGAAGTCAAATTGTCCCTGTTTGCAGATGACATGATTGTATATCTAGAAAACCCCATCATCTCAGCCCAAAATCTCCTTAAGCTGATAGGCAACTTCAGCAAAGTCTCAGGATACAAAATCAGTGTGCAAAAATCATTAGCATTCTTATACACCAATAACAGACAAACAGAGAGCCAAATCGTGAGTGAACTCCCATTCACAATTGCTTCAAAGAGAATAAAATACCTAGGAACCCAACTTACAAGGACGTGAAGGACCTCTTCAAGGAGAACTACAAACCACTGCTCAATGAAATAAAAGAGGATACAAACAAATGGAAGAACATTCCATGCTCATGGGTAGGAATAATCAATATCGTGAAAATGGCCATACTGCCCAAGGTAATTTATAGATTCAATGCCATCCCCATCAAGCTACCAAAGACTTTCTTCACAGAATTGGAAAAAACTACTTTAAAGTTCATAAGGAACTAAAAAAGAGCCCTCATTGCCAAGTCAATCCTAAACCAAAAGAACAAAGCTGGAGCCATCACGCTACCTGACATCAAACTATACTACAAGGCTACAGTGACCAAAACAGCATTGTACTTGTACCAAAACAGAGATATAGACCAATGGAACAGAACAGAGCCCTGAGAAATAATGCCACATATCTACAACCATCTGATCTTTGACAAACCTGACAAACACAAGAAATGGGGAAATGATTCCCTAGTTAATAAATGGTGCTGGGAAAACTGGCTAGCCGTATGTAGAAAGCTGAAACTGGATCCCTTCCTTGCACCTTATACAAAAATTAATTCAAGATGGATTCAAGACTTAAATGTTAGACCTAAAACCGTAAAAACCCTAGAAGAAAACCTAGGCAATACCATTCAGGACATAGGCATGGGGAAGGACTTCATGTCTAGAACACCAAAAGCAATGGCAACAAAAGCCAAAATTGACAAATGGGATCTAATTAAACTAAGGAGCTTCTGCACAGCAAAAGAAACTACCATCAGACTGAACAGGCAACCTACAGAATGGGAGAAAGTTTGTGCCATCTACTCATCTGACGAAGGGCTAATATCCAGAATCTACAACGAACTCAAACAAATTTACAAGAAAAAAACAACCCCATCAAAAAGTGGGTGAAGGATATGAAGACCCTTCTCAAAAGAAGACATTTATGCAGCAAAAAGACACATGGAAAAATGCTCATCATCACTGGCCATCAGAGAAATGCAAATCAAAACCACAATGAGATACCATCTCACACCACTTAGAATGGCGATCATTAAAAAATCAGGAAACAACAGGTGCTGGAGAGGATGTGGAGAAATAGAAACACTTTTACACGGTTGGTGGGACTGTAAACTAGTTCAACCATTGTGGAAGTCAGTGTGGCGATTCCTCAGGGCTCTAGAACTAGAAATACTATTTGACCCAGCCATCCCATTACTGGGTATACACCCAAGGGAGTATAAATCATGCTGCTATAAAGGCACAAGCACAAGTATGTTTATTGCGGCACTGTTCACAATAGCGAAGACTTGGAACCAACCCAAATGTCCAACAATGATAGACTGGATTAAGAAAATGTGGCACATATACACCATGGAACAAAATGCAGCCATAAAAAATGAAGAGTTCATGTCCTTTATAGGGACATGGATGAAGCTGGAACCATCATTCTGAGCAAACTATCCAAGCACAAAACACCAAACACCGCATGTTCTCGCTCATAGGTGGGAATTGACCAAAGAGAACATATGGGCAGAAGAAGGGGAACATCACAATCCGGGGCCTGTTGTGGGGTAGGGTGAGGGGGGACGGATAGCATTTGGAGATATACCTAATGTTAAATGGCGAGTTACTGGGTGCAGCACACCAACATGGCACATGTATACATATGTAACAAACCTGCATGTTGTGCGCATGTACCGTAAAAGTTAAAGTATAATAAAAAAATAAAATAAAATAAAATTTAATTAGAAATGAAAAAAGAAAATTCTACAACTTGAAACTAGATAGAAGATAGATCAGAAACAAAAATAGGAGTAAAGTGTGACTTTCTTCTCACTGTTTGATTATTATAGAGGCATTTTTATTTCATTAAAATCTTATATTTCTGGGGCTAGTTAATGTTATGATATTTTATTTTTAAATAGTTTTATTTTATTTACTTCAGTTAATTTGTAATTTTTGAGGATGCATTGTAGGTGTATATACTTATGGGGTTCATGAGATGTTTTGATGCGGTCTCGCAATGCATAATAATCACATCATAGAGAATGGGATACCCACCCACTCAAGCATTTATTCTTTGGGTTAAAATCTGATTATTCCTTCTTAGCTAGTTTAAAATGTACAATTACATTATTATTGACCAGAGTCATCTCGTTGTGCTATCAAATAATATGTCTTATTTATTCTATTTTTTTGTACACATTAACAGTCCCCACCTTTCCCCCAGCCTCCACTGTCTTTCTTAGCTTCTGAAAACCATCCTTCTGCTCTCTATGTCCGTGAATTCAGTTGTATTAATTCTTCCATCCCACGAATAAGTGAGAACGCACAGTGTTTATCTTTCTGTGCCTGGCTTATTTCACTTAACATACTCTTCTCTTTTATCCACGTTGTCGTAAAAGACAAAATCTCATTTTTATGGCTGAATACTACTCCAATGTATATATGTACTACTTTTTTTATACATTCATTCATTTGTAGACAGTTTGCTTTCAAATCTTAGCTATTGTAAACAGTGCAGCAACAAGCCGATTTTCTTTCTTTTGTGTCAATGCCCATCACTGGGATTGTTGGGTTGCATTGTAGCTGTGGCAGCTCAATTTTTAGCTTTTTGAGGAACCTCCACACTTTTTTATAGTGGTTATACTAATTTACATTCCCACCAAGAGTGCACTAAAGTTTTCTCCACATCCTCGTCAGCACTTGTTATTGTCTGTCTTTGGGATATAAGACATTTTAACTGGAGTGAGATAATGTCTTATTGTAGTTCTGATTTGCATTTCTCTGAGGTTTAATGATGTTTAGCAACATTTATATGTCTGTTTGCCATTTGTATGTTTTCTTTGTAGAAATGCCTCCTCCTGGCTGGGTGTTTCATGCCTATAATCTCAGCACTTTGGGATGCCGAGATGGAAGGATCACCTGAGGTCAGGAGTTTGAGATCAGCCTGGCCAACATGGCTAAACCCAGTCTCCACTAAAAATATAAAAATTTGTCAGGCATGTGTTCTGCATGGGAGATCCATGAGGAAGAAGAAAAGGCACACACAATACTTTTAAGGGTAAACATCTTTTGTCTCAATTATATGGCAATACAGATATAATAAGTAAATGATATGATAAGCAAATTGATATGAGAAGGGAAAAAATATATATATTTTTTATATATATAAATATATATATTATATATATATAATTATATATGTATTTATTTACATTTATTTATTTAAATAATTATGTACATAATTATATAATTATTTTTATTTACAGTTATATGTATAAATTATATACATATATATGTATATATATATATATATACATATGTTTACACACAGCAGACTACAGAGTATGGAGGAAGCATCACCAGACAGAGAAGCAATAGCCTGGGCTCCAGAGTCAGACACTACACTCACCAGACTATGGAGGATTCATCAACAGACCGGGAAGCAACAGCCTGGGCTACAGAGTTGGCCCCTCATCCCTGCAGAGATGGGGAGAGGTCTCAGGAAGCTCTAGTGCCATCTGGGACCCTAGCTCTTTTTGTAAGGAGTTCTTTGGCATAAGGCCGGGTAACGAGGACTCTTCACTACTGGGCTCAAAAACCACAAAAATGTCAAATTTTTGGCGATTGTCTGTTGTTTTTCAATAACTAACATACAGGAACAGATTAAAATAGAAATTTCTCTGAGACACTGGTGGATGAACGCCTGAAGAAACTCACAGAACCTGTTCCGGGACTTGGTGACCATTGTTTGTGTCCATGTTCAATTGAGATAAAATTGAGTATTTAACTTTTCTTCCAAATTTGGCTTCAATTTGATACTCAATTGTAGGAAAATACCCTTACAGATACTTGGGGAAAGCATACTTTATACAGATTACAGATTCAGTGTAAGCACAGGAGAATTAAAAGCACAGTTAATGAAAACCACACCCACCATGGCTGTGCAAGGAGAGTCGTAGTGTGAGAATTGTCAGGGATATACACACAACATTCGGTATGCAGTAAGGTACAGGGACGATTCTCCAACGTAGCCCATTTTTGGTGGCCTCTGGCAATTCCACGCATAGCCAACATTGACTGCAGTTGGCTTCTGTTGCAGTGGTGGCTATGCAGATGATGAATTTATTCTTGGCATCAGACACAGAGACACAGGTACTGACCATTAGTAAACAGGTTATTCTCTGTAATAACCAAAACAGAGGGGAACATAATATTGTTTTTCATCTTTAGGAAACTGTACTATGCCTTCAGTTTCTTCTCCCATAGCTACAAGTTCACCAGCCATAGGAGTAGGATGTGATGGACGCTGTACTCATATTTTGGCTCCAGGATTTAAGCTACGTGTACCAGTGCGTCTGAATCTCCCAGTTCTGTATGTAGCCTCTGTTGGGGCAGAGACATCCTCAGGGGTTAATTGTTGACAAGGTACCACTAAAAATTGAGGAACCCACATCTGCAGTTTTACAGCAAAAGATTCTCGAGTGATATTGTATACAATGATCTTTAACTCTCCCCTGTAACCACTCTGAATTATACCACCATACATTATGCCGTTCATTGCAAGACTTGAATGTGTTTTAATCCATTCATCCGCATTCAAATTTGCAACTATGGTGGAAATTTTGGCCTGTTGATCTGTCTGCTGATTAAATAGTCTGTCGAGAAAGCAGAGACACATGAGCATCAACATGAAAAACAGTGATAATGATAGTGTGCACCAGGATTCAGGTATCTTCCCAGGAGTGTTTTCCCTCTTTATGCCTAATTAACCATTTGTAAAGATAAAATAGAGAATGAAGGTGGTGTCGGTGAGATTGGACATCAAAAGACACAAAAGGAATGTGACATGGTGACCTGAGAAAGGAATAGAGAGAGAAATTAAAATAGACAAAAAGGGGAATCAGCAAGGAGATGGAGGAGGCAGAATAGAAGAGGGGACTCAACAAACAGGAGCAGTTGGTGCAACAGAGGGTGCATCGCATACTTGTACAACGCTTCTTTCATTTTCTAGTTACTTTTCCTTTTAAATTTGTGTCAGATTTAGTTAAGGTGTCAACGTTTTTTTAAATCTTTTTATATACTGAAAATATTCTTTGCTGTTTAGTAAATAACTTTCAGTATTTCAATTTGCTCTTGATAAGAGTATTAATTTTTAAATCAACAGACAACATTCAGTAAAACTAGTTAGTCTAATATGCAGCAGCTTCTTCTCTTCCACATGTGATTTGGGAATTTAATGCACTGTGAGACGAAATTTCCAAGTCTATGATGTCTTTAAGTTCCCTTTGCTCTTTTTTTTTTTAGCAGATATTGAAGAATGGGCTGGCTGGGCATGAAACTTTCTTCCACCAAGACCATCTTTTCATGATAAATACATTGTCCTGAGTTATTTTTATAGCTAATCCTCTTTCTTGTTTCCAATTGTCAATTATTACATATTTTCAACTTTATAATTTTGGAAGTTCGATGTGATTTCTCAAAAAAAAGAAAGAAAAAAAGAAAATGCTTGAGTTTAATGTGATTAGAATAACAGAGAAGTTTCTCCTGGTCAAGAGTATAAAATTTGGTCTGAGACCTTTAGCCAGTGCTGGTGACTCTCTGCTGGCCTGTCCTCATCCTATCCCTCCCTTCCCAAACATACACTTACACAGTCACAAGGCAGCTGAGGAGAGGAGAGCACAGACTTTAAACTCTGTATGTGTATATATTTTAAGATAGAACCTTGCTCTGTTGCCCAGGATGGAGTGTAGTGGCACTATCTCGGCTCACTGTAGGCTCCACCTCTGAGTTCAGGCGATTCTCGTGCCTCAGTCTCCCAAGTAGCTGGGATTACAGGTGCCTACCACTATGCCCAGCAAATTTGTGTGTTTTTAGTAGAGTCAGGGTTTTGACATGTTCCCCAGGTTGGTATCATACTCTTAGCCTCAAGCGAGCCACTGGCCTTGGCCTCCCAAAGTGCTGGAATTACAGGCATGAGCCACAATACCCGGCCTGTCTTTATATGATTTCTTTGGCTGTAAAGAGTATCAGTGGTGTCTGTACCTTTCTCAGTGGCTTAGGGTATCGTTTTTAGCAGAGGCTGTGGTAAAGTTTTGCTGGGAATAGGGGCACCAGAGGTTTAGTCATTGGATCCCAGTGGTGGCAGTGGTGAGCTTACCATGCCTGCTTTTGGGTCTCAAGGCAGTTATGCTGGCAGCAGTGTTAACAGGTCCAGGAAGACTAATTATTTGGCCTTCATGTGATTTGCTCAGGTGTCAGCAGTGAGCAAGGTGGGTGGGCAGCTTCTTGAGCCCCTGGACAGTGGTTATGGCATGGATGATGGCAGTAGCAACGACAAGAAAAACCTCTGACTCCCAAGCGTTCCATGCTGGTGTTGGTGTTTGCTGTGATGGGCTGGGAAGGCCAGTTTCTAGGAACACAGGTGGTGTATATATGTGGGTATCAGCTGCGTTAGTAGCTCCAGGTTCAGTGAGTCCATCCTCAGGTCTCAGAGAAGAGTGCTCAGGTGCCAATCTTGTTAGACTTCACTGGACTGAAGTCCATATTTTAAGCACTATCTGGCTCCACACACTCATTGGCCGTTCTTATCATCACTCTGAGCCCATTAACCCCGCAGCAGAAAAACATCAGGAAAGTTTTTAATATTTCTTCTTTGGGGCACAGTATGCAAGGAAAGGAATTGTATTAAGAGATGAAGTAAGTACTCTTATTAGAAAAAGGAACACTTTGGGGCCAGAAATGGACCAGTGTCCAAGGCATGCAGAAAGCAGGAAATAATTACCGGGTCATGGGATGGAACTATGGAGAGTGACTAAAGTTTCAAGATCATAAACCAGTCTTTAGTTGCTCCTAATTTAATTTAATGCAATCCTCACTCTTTGTCATCATTTGGTTTTAATGTATAAAGCTATGGGGTCTGCTTATTGTATGTTTTGTAGTATAATTTGGAAATTAATCTATCAGCTCTTTTTTCTCAGCCCAGTTGGTGTCTTGTCAACTCCTCTGCACGAATTGCTTCTTGTTTTCTCACAGTCCAGCCCTATGTTCTCATGAGCTGTGACCCTGGGGTATCCAGGCTCTGGTTTGCCTGCTGTGGAAAAAGTGCAGCTTTCTAAGCTGGTCACATATCTCTACATTAAATGTACATTGTCTTTTTAAAGCAATGTTCAGACATTCATATATTCTTTCTTCCTGAGGTTTAAGCACCACAAGCAGCAGTCATATAATGGAGAGATTCTCAACAACAGAGTGAGTCTCTGCCATAATTGGATTTATTATACATTAGAAACAGCAGTTACATACTAAATGTTTTACAAAGTGTTTTTTATAATTTTTATTTCCTTAAATATTGCAAATAGAAAATTTAGAGGTCCAACATTTATTTAAAATTTGGCTCTTGTAATTTGCAGTGGAAAGCTTATATGAGTATCTACCTCTAAACCAATTAATTAAAAATGCTCTGGGGTTAACTGGGCACCAAAGTATAAGAAAATTTTAATTAAGTGAAAAAGTCTAAGTAATGACCAACTAAGGAAATAAAAAGGAAATTATACTTTCAACCCCCTTTCCCCCAGTTGCTCTATGCTCTATTTTTTTTCTATTGCCAAGTTGTACAATTTTATTTTTGTCCTTGATAATTGTACTTTATTTTAACGTGACTAGATTATATTTTATTTTATTTTATTTTATTTTATTTTATTTTATTTTGTTTTATTTTATTTTAATGTGACTAGATTTTGCCTCACTCCAGGCTGGAGTACGGTAGCATGATTATAGTTCACTGTAACCTCAACTTCCTGAGTTCAAGTAATCCTCCTGCCTCAGCCTTCTAAGTAGTTGAGACCACAGTTACATGCTATAATGTCAAAATAATTTTTAAAACATTTTCAGTGACAAGGTCTTGCTTAGGCTTGTCTCAAACTTCTGGCCTTAATTGATCCTCTGGCCTCAGCATCCCTAGCAGCTGAAATTTCAAGTGTGAGCCACTGAGCCCAGCTCTTTATTTTTATAAATATTTATCTCTTTAGTTTTTTCTGAAGCATTTTCAACACCTTCACCTGAACTTTCAGGCTTTCAACTCACAGTTGATTTTATCCATTTTGCTATTCATCCTATTTATTCTATTGCTTATATACTTTTGTAACATATTTAATATTTTGAGTTTTAAATTCTTGATACTTATATGTATGTATTTTTAGTTGTCTCTTTTGCAAGGCTGCGATTCTCTCTAGAGAAGAGAATGGGCTCTATGCTTTCTTGAGAAAAGCATTTTATAACATGGGAGTAAAACAGACCCTGTGGAAAATAAAATAAAAGGCATTTTAATCATGATTTTTTATAAATTGCTATTTGGGAGACACAAATTTAGCAAGAAGCTATATCATGTTCCATTCAGATGAGGTTAGGGAGGGACTTATAAAGTTTTACTGCAAGTTTACACAAGTGAAAGATTTTAGCACAGTCTATGATGGACAATGTTTGATTGCCAGCTTAGACTGTATCTAGGCAATCATCAGCTTAATTCAGCACAGCTTTCTCTCCAGGAGGTTTGTGATCAGGCTCAGTATAAACAATCCAAGTCAAATGCAGTTGCCTTTTTAGGACATCTGTAATTTTCCCAGTTCGAACAGGTAAAATTCCACCTGGGTGTGTATGAGTATTAATTCAACTCCTCATGTCCTCCTAGTTGTCTTTAGAGACCTCTCAAATAACTATCTCCATTTTGGATTTCTTTTAATTAGAAATAAAGAGCGCAAGGATTATCACTGGTTGGGAATATAGAAAAATAGTGCCCACCTGTGATTCATCGGACCCCAGTCAGAGAGAAAAGGCCAAGATATGCCTGACAGAAAGGCTTGAGGACCTTTAGGTAATTTATTCCTCAAAAAGAATTGGTTCACACCTGTAATTCCAGCACTTTGGAAGGCCAAGGCGGGCAGATTATTGGAGGTCAGGAGTTCAAGACCAGCCTGACAAACATAGTGAAACTAAAAATACAAAATTTGCTAAACATACTAAACGTACAAAAATTAGCTGGACATGAAGCTGGGTGCCTGTAATCTCAGCTACACAGAAGCCTGAGGCAGCAGAATCTCTTGAACCCAGGAGGTGGAGATCGCAGTGAGCCAAGATTTTACCAATGTACTCCAGCCTGGGTGACACAGCAAGACTCTGTCTCAGAAAGAAAAAATTGGATAAAGAATTGCCCTAATGCTGGGAATTTTACCTCATAGGTAGTAAAAATATTTACAGAATAAGGCCCAGGTGTAGCCATAAAGTGGCATTACAATTCTTTCATTCTAGATAAGAAACTAACTTAAAAAAAGAATAGAAATTCTAAGGTAAGAGACAAAACTCTGGGAGGATTTACATCTAAGGTAAAGGCTCAATCACAGGACACCAGAAGAAGATTGAGAATGCAGCTTCCTTTCTGCCCTGCATCCATTGTCAATAGACTTTCCCTGGCCTTCTCCTTTTGACTTTGGTCATTTTATTTTATAATGTTTTTTTCCACATAGACCTGATGCAACTCCAGAGTTGGAAGAAAAAACAACAATGTCCTAATAGTTGCTTAGAGGAAACCTCAGCAAGTGAAGCAGAAGTTGATTTATTTTTTGTAAAATCATAGAAAGGTATTCATCCTCCTGATCTCTGCAACTGCTTTTTAAAGAAATCTATATTTCCAAGACTGTCGCTATGCTTTGTGAAAATACCTTCAAATTATTAATTCTGCAAGTTCGAATGATCTATCTTCACTCTTTCCTTGGGTTAATATTAAAATGAACATATGCTCTGAGAAAAATGGACCTGGGTGTCTTATCCGGCAGCCAGAAACTATGACTGCTTTTCTCTTCTTCCTCATACATTATGCTGCCGACTCTTTAGGATTTCATAATTCAAGGAGAAATGTTAGAGTCTGTATCTCATTTAAGCTTACACAAGTGAAATAAAAAGAACCACAACCACAACTCCGATTTTGTAGTAGAATGAGATTTTCATATAATATTCGACTCTAGCATTTACTATTTACGAAAAATAAATATTTCCCCTCCTCTCTGGATAAACACATTCTGGGGAAGAGCTCTCAGGGAGATGGAGAAGAGCTGTCTCTTCTTCTTCTGATTTTCAGTTGTTCCAGCAAATGTCTCACAATATTCTTTACATTGAAGCTGCAGGAAATGAACCAAAACACCAAGTGCCTTAGTTGGGCCCTGCTGCTGAGGAAGAGGCTGTGTTTGAGCTGGTCTCAGTTTGCCCTGTCACTGACATAGGACTCTGTACTGGGGCCCGGCTACTAGATGGAAGGGCTAAATTATGTTGGGACTTCCCTCAGAATTATGGCTCACCCTCCTCCCTCATCTGCATTCTGAGCTCCAGGCACTGTGTAGAGCACTCCGTTCATTGACAGTTCCCATGTATCCCTGATATGTGAGTCATCAGCACGGCTGCACTTCACAGAGGACAAAATGAAATCGAGGGGAGGAGAGGCAACTCTCGCCACCTGCAGGACTGGTCAGTGGTGGAGCCGGGATCCCAGAGTCAGCTTTTAGGATCACTTCACTCACATTAAGCCCAAAACTTCACTGAGCCTTTTAAAATAAAGGGATACTGATTGTCCCACCTCACAGCCCTCGGGTAAAGCTAGATCAGGCTCAATGTGGAGGGCACTGAGCACAGCACAAGTTGCATGTGAGTGGGGACTGTCATTGTTTCCTGGGGCCCTCAGGTTTGGAGGTTTCCTGCCATGTAGTGACAGCTGGCTTAGGGGGCATTAGGGGAGGGGCTTCCCCACAGTTTGTTGCAACAGCCACCTGGCTCAACCAGGAATGTTCCAAAGTCATCCAGATAATTTCCCAGATGACCACTCAGTCATGTGGTGTCCTACTACCCATGGGATACAGCCTAAACTTTTTATCATAGGAGGAATAATTTCTAGTGTCTGACAGCACAGTAGGATAACTACAGTTAGCACTAATTTTTAGTATATTTTAAAATAGATAGAAGAGATGGCTTTAAATTCTCCCAACACAAAGGAAATTTTTCAAACACAAAGAAAATAATATCCATGTTTGAGGTGATGGATATTCTAATTACCCTGATTTGATCACTGTACATTGCATGCATGTATCAAAATATCACTCATGCACCACAAATATATACTATTATTATGTATCAACAAAGGGAAAATTGCTAAAAGTGGCTCCCAACTAAAAAAAAAAAGTCAATTTCTAAGTCACAGAAAAAGATGCTCACTTTAAATTGTAAGTTCTGTGACAGAATGTAAAGGTTTGCATAGTCACTTTTACAGTCCCAGACTATCATGCATAGAACTGCCTGGCCCCGTGTGTATGTACACACAGAGATACAACCATGCTTCTCTAGTGGGGCATTTTTTTCTCCCTGAAACATTTGCCAATGTTTGGAAACCTGTCTTGCTGTCTGGTTATTTTAGTAAATTGATTGTGACTGTAATTAGGCCCAATTTAATGACTGTAATTAGGCCCACTTGCTGTCTGCACATAGATGATCAGGGGCAAGTAGTCGAAGATATAGTTAAAGACATGATGAAACTGGCACATGTGCCAGTACAGGTGTGGCACCGATTTGACACTGAGGCCATGTTTGAAAATGGTTCCCGGCACTAGAAGGATTTAAAACTCTTATAATGGAAACTATAGTAGTAATAGGAACCTGCTTACTGATCTCTTGCTTACTAGCTGTACTCATTCAAGTGGTAAAAGTTTTCATGGCAACTCTAGTTCACCAGAACGCTTCAGCACGAGTGTACTACATGAATCACTATCAATCTGTGATAGAGGAAGACATAGGTAGTGAGGAAGAAGGTGAGAACTCCCACTAATAAAATGAGTGAGAGTCTCAAAGGGGGAAAATAAGGGAGGAGACCAACCCTCATATTGTCTTATACCCAATTTCTGCCTCCAAAGAAAGAAGAAGTAAAAACTAGAAGGCAGAAATGAAATCCACAAGCAGACAGCCCAGCGCCACACCCTGGGCCTGGTAGTTAAAGGTCAACCCCTGACCTAATCGGTTATTTGCATAAAAAATGCACTGTGAAGATCCCTGTCCTGTTCAGTACCTTTCTAATTACCAGTGTATGCATCCCCCAGTCACATACCCACTGCTTGCTCAATAGATCGTGACCCTCTCATGCGGACCCCCTTAGAGTTGTGAGCCCTTAAAAGGGACAGGAATTGCTCACTCGGACGGTTCAGCTCTTGGGAAAGAAGTCTTGCTGAAGCTCCCAGGTGAATAAACACCTTCTTTCTTTAACTCAGTGTCCAAGGGGTTTTGTCTGCAGCTCTTCCTGTTACATTGGGAGAGGCCAATGTGGGCAGCGACATGGGGAGGCACAGATCCCTTAGTGGTGGCTGTGTGCTCTGAGGCGAATGTGGGGAAAATCAGACCTAAGATGCTTCATATGGCTGATAGTACCAGCTTTACAGCTGCAGCAGTCTGCGACAGGGGAAGGCATGGTCCTGGCTAAGCAGCATCTGAAACTCCCGCAATAGGACCAGGTCTGGTGGACTCAAGAGTGAAAGTCAGAGTGAAAGTGAACTGCAAGAGAGGAAATGAGAGTGAAAACATCAAAAGTGGCTCCTTTGAAAAGCATAATAAAGAATTTTAAAAAAAGAGTTAGAAGTGATTATAGGATGAAACTGAGTGTTCAAAAGTTAAGGACATACTGTGAATTAGAATAGCCCTGTTTTAGTGTCAGATGGCTTGCCAAAGGCACTATAGAAAAATTGGCCGTGTGTTTTAAGGTGGTGACTAGGGTCAGAGAACAGCCAGGACATTCAGACCTACTCTTTATATTGACTCATGGCTAAATGAATGCAGCCCTGCCTAGCAGTTTACTGTAGAATGCTCGCAGCTCACGGCAAGAGAAAATCAGCTGCTCTGGCAGCTACAGAGTTAAAAGGAGACACAGAGGCTTGTAGCACCTCCCAGCCAAAAGTGAAAGTAAAATCAGCTGCCCCAGCAGCTGAAGACAAATGAAAAAATCTCAGAAAAGGCAGAAAAACCGGTTTTGTAACAACCACAGAAAAGAATAGAGACCGCTCCTCCTTACATTCCAATCTACCCCCTTTACCAAGGTAACTGTCCCTAAGGAGTTAAGTTCAAATGGATACATGCTGCCAGTCTCACCCGAGAAGGTGAAATGAGAGCGAAAATCAGGCAGGCCGTCTCAGGTCTGGTCGTGCATAAGATATGCTCATGCCTCTTAAGAGGACAGGAGGACCCCCACTAGGACCCAGATGATGCAGTCCAGATTCAGCACCTACAAAGGTGCCGAGAAGCCCATCTGCAAAGGCTAAAGGATGGTAAAAGAAAAAGGCAATCAATATTTTTAAAAATCTCAGACATGCTTCAGGGTGCAGATAAAAGCACAGCAAGTTCTATGAAAGACTTTGTGAGGCATTTTTATTGTACACTCCGTTTAACCCTGAGGCTACTCAAAAATCAGTGCAGGGTGAATCCAGCACTTGTAAGGCAGACCCAAGGAGATATCAGGCATAAATTGCAGAAGTTACAAGCTCCGTAGGCGAGAATGCTACTCAGCTTATTAAAGTGACAACCAAGGTGTTAATTAACCGAGATGAGGAGGCAAAGGAAAAGGCTGATCACAGGCTTAAGAAAGGCTAACTTACTAGCAGCAGCCCTTCCGGGAAGAGGAGCTGGCTTTACAAGGAGGCATGGACGCGGGCGTGAACGTAGTCATGAAAAAGGCTAGTCTGGACAGGAGTGTGAAGGCCAGCCGAGGCTAGAGAGAGATTAATGTGCATGGTGCAAAAGGAAAGACACTGGAAGCATAAATGTCAAAGAAATAATGAAAATGATCAGGGCAATAGTAAAAGAAACAAAAAACAAACCAAAAAAACCCAAAAAAACAGAACCAAAAAATCACACACACACACCAGCCAAGGGCTACTACACGCAGAAGAAACCCAAGAACCACTGCACCTGCTGTAGAAGGCAGAATAAAAAGTGTCAGAAAAAAGCTCAAATCTCCTCTAAAAGTGTCAATATTTAAGCTTTTATATAAGCCAAGAGGAAAGATGGCTTAGTCCTGAAAAAAAGCAGGCTGTTTGTGCACTTTCTACTCCAACCACCCGGTGTCAAGTAAGAGAGTTTCTAAGAGCAGCAAGGTTCTGCCGCGTTTACAACCCAAATTTCTTGCTCATGGTCAAGCCATCATACCAAGCCACTAAGAGGAGGAAAAAAGGAGCCCCTCCTCTAGGAGGCCAAAGAGGAGAAGGATTTTAAAGAAATCAAAGAAGCCTTGACTCAGGCCCCAGCTTTAGGACTGCCAGATCTAACTAATCAAGCTTTTCTTCTTGTATGTCCACAAGTGAAAGGGAGGCCATAGGGGTTCTGACTCAAGCCATAAGGTCATGGCATCGCCTGGTGGCATATTTATCCAGGCAATTAGATTCTGTTGCACTTGGATGGCCTCCTTGTCTTAAAGCACTAGCAGCCACTGCCGTACTGGTGCAGGAAGCTAGTAAACTAACTTTAGAGACTGTGAATACCCTAAATCCGGCTACCTTACTCTCATCGAGTCAGTGCCAGGAGGACCGTTTCATTGTGGTGTGGACGTGGTAGATGAAGTGTTCTCAAGCCAGAGAGATTTGACAGATCAGTCCCTCAGGGACCCAAACATTGAATATTCTACTGATGGAAGCAGTTTCATACTAAAAGGAGCCCGCCAAGCTGTGTATGCAGTGGTGACTTTAGACTCAACAGTAGAGGTGCAGTCTTCATCTACAGAAACTTCTGATTAGAAAGCAGAACTAAGAGCTCTGACAAGAGTTCTCTGGCTAGCAAAAGACCAAAAGACCAATATTTATACAGGTTCCAAATATGCTTCTGCCACTTTGCATGTTCATAAGGTTATTTACAAAGAAAAAAAGAAGACTTTTAACTGCGGAAACAAAGAAATAAAGTACAAGGAAGAAATCCTACAGCTCTTAAACGCTGTATGGGCCCCAAAAGTGACGGTAGTGAAGTCCTGCAAGAGGCAGCAAAAAGCAAGAACACTAAGGGCTAAAAAAGATACGAAGGCAAAGAGGCAAAGAAGGCTGCAATGACAACTCCACCTAAAGAAGATGCCTTAGCTATGCCTCTCCTCCCGGAGATTCCCCTCCTGGAGATCCCAATCTTCACTCCAAATAACAGAGCTTGGCTTCCCCAGGAAAATAAGAACTACATTGAAAGAGGATAATACAAATTCTTCAATGGGAGGCTAGCCATACCTGAAATGGTGACCCCCAGATTTGTAAAACAATTCCACCACCGAACTCAGATTAAAAAAAAAATAAAGACATTATTAAGGCATCATTTTTATCTGCCATGGCTCATTGCTATTACTCGGGCCATTTGTAAACTGTGTTTAACTTACACTCGGAACAATCCACGACAAGATCCTACTCGGCCCATGGGAGTTCAGGAAAAAGGAGCCATGCCCTGTGAAAAACTGCTAATGGACTTCACTGAATGACCCTGAGACGGGGGCTATCAGTACATATTGGTGTTCATTTGCACCTTTTCAGGATAGCTCAAGGCCTTTCCCACCAGGACAGAGAGGGCACTAGACGTGACCAAGGCGTTAAGAGACATTGTTCCCAGATTTGGGCTGCCTCTAACTCTAAGATCAGAGAATGGACCAACATTTGTGGCTAAAATAGTTCAGGACTTAACTCGACTATTAAAAATAAAATGGAAATAACATACAGCCTACAGGTAGCAGATCTCAGGTAAAGTGGAGAGCATAAACTGGACACTCAAGCAGCTGTTGAAGAAATTTTGTCGAAAAACTCATCTGAAGTAATATCAGGTCTTGCCCATGGTCCTCTTATGAGTCAGGTGCACCCCCACCAAAAAACTGAGTATTCGCCCTCTGAGATTTTGTTCAGCTGCCCACCCCCCAGAAAAATCAGATTCAGGGTAATCTCTGTAAATTGGGAAAACTAACTTTAAGAAGGCAAATGCAGGCTTTAAGTATGGCTATACTAAAATGCATGGTTAAGTATGTAAAAAAATGCCTATAAGTCTAACAGACCCAGTACACCCTTTCAAACCTAGGGACTTCGTTTAGGTAAAAAATGGAATTCAACCACTCTAGGACCCATATACGATAGGCGCCATATTGTAATCATGTCTACTCCCACTGCTGTTAAAGTTGCAGGTGCCACACCTTGGATTCACCATAGCCATCTAAAACCAGTGACAGTAGCGAGTCGTGATGACAACCTGTGGATTAGCCAACAAGACCCAGATTGCCCCACTCGAATAGCCCTATGGCAAATCTCAGCCACCGGTAAAAAGGACAACCGCCCTGCTCTGACCACACTGGAGGCTGGTCAGTCTAAGCATGGCTGAAGCTTAAGGATTCTTCAAACTCTGCTCTAGTCACATCCCGGAAGCTGACTAGTGTACACACAGCCGAAGCTAAGAGGACCATGTCCAGATAAGTAAATGTGAATACAATTTATAACCATAGTTACAATTCTGTCAATACTGATTGTTCCGTTGTTATGTTATTACTGCAAATGCTGCAAATGTCTATGCCCAGAGGAAAGTTTTTGTGCCCATGTGTAGTGTAAGCATGTTTCTATTACATACAACAATGTTGTTACCATTTATGCTTATACTGAAAGGGGATAAATCTCTTGAAGGATGTCCATGCTGTGTACACATTACCTGGATAAAAAATACCACAGTTAAAACTCTACTGTACCATACCTACTATGAATGTACAGGAAGCAAATTAGGAATATGCATATACAACCAGACCACCTATTCAGTCTGTGACTGAGGAAATAATCAGCTATATGTATGTTATGAGCCTGGGCTCTTACCCTATTAATTCTATTTTGAGGTAAATATTATATCAGAGGGAGAAACAGAAGGAAAGCTTATAGCTCAAACCAAAGAAATCCCACCCTTCTAAAAAGGGCCTATTTCTTCTTTGATGACTGCCATGCCACGTATGTTCATAATCCTAAAAACCAGATTGTAAGACAAGGACATGCGATCCTTTAAATTTTACTATCTTAAAGCCAGAGCTACCTTTTTGGTCTACAGGACAGACAGCACTATTACCAGTTGATAGACAAGGAGCAGGTCTTGGAGTTCCACTACTAATTGTCAAAAATACTATAAGGACTCAAATGCATCCAACCCCTCAATACCAAGTCATTCTGTAAGCATTTTGATCAGCCAGTGCCCGAGGTTCCCCCATCAACCAAAAACTTATTTGCTCAACTAGCTGAAAACACAGATGGCAGCTTAAAAATTTCTTCATGCTATGTATGTAGAGAAACTAATATGGAGAATGAGTGGCAATGGGAGGCAAAGGAATTAATGCCACAAGATAACTTCACTTTGCTTAACCCTGCCAGTGAACCAACAGCCTCAGCCAGTGTTTGATTGTTAAAAATCTCCATAACTGGAAAGTACTGTATCACTCGATGGGGAAAGGCTTTCACAGACGCAGTAGGAAAAACAACCTTCCTAGGGCAACAGTATTATTACGAGACTAAAAACAAAACTCTATGAAGAAATGCCCAGAATGACTCCTACTTACCAGATCCAAACACTTTCTCTGGATTCCTTACTCTAAGCTGCACTTGGCATCAGGTAGATGATTCAAATGCTTGAAAGGCACCCTCTGGCCTATATTGGATCTGTGGAGCATGGGCATATTGGCAACTGCCAGCAAAATGGGCAGGGACATGTCTGTTAAAAGCAATCAAGCCATCCTTCTTTCTAATTCCTCTAAAGCAAGGGAAATTCTTAGAATATCCAGTTTATAATAAAAATAAAAGAAGAACTAGAAAAAGCATAATCACAAAAGTAACAAAAATATCAAAAAAGATGTGGACACAGGAGACTAAAAAGATAATAAATGACCTCCTGAAAGAATCATGACATGCTATGGGCCAGCTACCTAGGTGCAAGACAGGTCATGAGGGTACTGCACCATAATCTATATCCTCAGCCGCATCATGAAGTTGCAGGCAGTCCTTCAAATCATAACCAATGAAATATCGAGGGCACTAGATTTATTGGCAATACAAGCAACACAAAAAGGAAATGCTATATATCAAAATAGGCTGGCTTTAAATTATCTCTTATCCTCCGAAGGAGGAATATGTAGAAAATTTAATTTAACCAACTGTTGCCTAGAAATCAATAGCCAAGAAATCAATATTAGTGGTCATAAAAATTACAGCTAGAATGCACAAGTTGGCCCAGGTTCCACTTCAGACTTGATCCAGGTAGTCCCCGGATTCCTTGTTTGGAGGATGGTTCTCAGCATTTGAAAAATTCTAAACCCTCATTAGTAGGTTCTTGCTTATTCTTTGCATCTGCCTTATCCTCCCTTGCCTTTTGTCTCTGTTTATTAGGAGTATTCAGTCAACTATGGAGGCAATGGTAGCCCAAAACACTACTGTACAGTCTGTACAGTTGATGCATTAACCAGATATCAGCCACCGCCAGAAGAAGAAAAAGCTCAGCTCCATGAAGACTTGGCAAATAATGGTGCTTTCTATTAACACCTCTGTTATAAAAAGCACCAATGGGGAGAATGGAACAGGAATTATAAGAGATTAAAGAGTGTGTAAGCAGAAACTCACTTGTGTGTAAGAAAACCCAACTTCTGTTGAGAAAGAGTAAGAGCTGGAGTCCTTTAAAAACTAACTGCCTGTTTTTCTGTGGCTAGTGATCCTTATCTCTCCTCCTTTCCCAGGGATTGTGAAGACCCTGTTTCCCAAGCTGTGAAGCTGCAAGGTCACTAGACAGATAAATTCAAGTCACAAAACAGGTTTTTCCTTGAAAAGTAAGAAATAATGTAATGCATGTCTCAATTGAATAACTGTCTTTGTTTCTTGCTTCTGTAGTATGATTCTCCCTGCACAAATCTCTCCCCACCCATGAAATGCTTAAAAGGTAACTTAACTCTTTGTTCAGGACTCATTCTTTGGATGTTAATCCACTGGACCAGTGCACCTAAATAATTAATAAATACCCTCCTGAACCCCATCGGCCTCTCTGATTTCTTAAAATTCCACTACATACAGACTTCTCTACTATTGACCCCCACATTCTTTTCTTCCACACAGGAAGTCCACATATAAAATCGTGTGTGAAACTATTCTATTTGAGGTGTATTTCTGTGCCCTAGGATCCAGATAATCCCTTACATTTTAAATTCTTGCTTTTTTGTGGCTCACAGTATGATGTTATCAAAAATTAGGCAAATATTCTGATACTTTCTTAATTTTACAAGGGGGAGAATTGTCCTTAGATAATTACATTCTGGAAAGGCCATAATGAGCAACTCTGGACCTGATTGATTGTCATTTTTGGGTCCACTGCAGGGCTGCATACTAAGGGACAGTGGTCATTCTGAGTTCATAGAAAAAACCTGACATGAGAGGGGACATTTTGCTAGACATGCCACCTGGTGCACAGAGCTGAAAAATGAGACCTGCTGGTGACGTGCTTATCAAGCTTAGGGTCTTGAGGGCTTTTTAAATTCAGTGCTTTAAAAGCTGGCCTCACATCCTGAGTTCAGAAAAACCAAAATTTTTTGTTTTCTATAGACTTTTTGGTTGAAAATCCCTTTTCCATGGACTTTTAAACTAGTTATTTACAGCACAAGCCCCATGTCTAGTAACAAAGGTGTCAGCCATCTTCAAAATGTGTTTTTATTAATACTTTATTTTTAAGCTTTATTAACTAAAGATATATTTATTTATAGTCACTTTGAGTCTCCAGGATAAATATTAGTCTTAAATTGTTATTTCTCATAAAGTCTTGGAGGTTGCTAAGTTCTACTGTTTTGCACGTAAAGAATCAAGAAACTCTTTAGTACAATATTAGAAAATACTTGTATTTACTTAGATTTTATAGTACTATTTTTATTTTTCTTTTTATTTCTTAGATATAGGTACTCAAATTTCTACAAACTGACAACATAATATGCTTACTTGAAAATATTACCAGAATAATTGAAGTTGATAATTAAAAATGAAAGATAAAAAATGTGAGAATTGCTGAAGCCTTGTGGTGGGTATGTATGATAAATGTTAGTTTATAATTCTCCCTATGTTTGCTAAGATTTTTTATTTTCATAATATCTTTTAAATATATAATTTAAACATCTTCTCACATGTTTTATCAATAAATTTAGGAGTTCAATATTGAATTTGAGTGTTGAAATTGGTTACAAATGAGGGACAAAAGAGCAGCTTTCTAATTGGCCATACACTAAAAGTACCAGCAACTGTGGACAGGGGTGCCACTAACACACTTTATTTAACATTTTTGCTGTGAGTCATTTTTGATAAGGAATATTTTAACCTTATGATGACATCATAACAAGTTTCTAATAATCAGTGACTCAGAGTGGTCTTCAATAGTGTACTATTATTTAATTTACATTTCTGGCCTGGTAAATCTAAGCAGGTAATTTATGTCTATTAATACATTTTACAATTGTAATTTTTTTCTTATAACTATTTGCCATGAAGATTTTAATGTTATAACTATATCTTTGTCTTTTCCTCTTTATTTAACATGCCTTGAGATGAACAATAAATGGGTTTGGTTTTACAGTCTGTGACTTAGTTCTCCAAAAGTCAACAGTTTCATTTGGAAACATTTTAGAGGGATATAATCTTATAACAAAACCATCACATGTTTTAAGTGTACAATTCCAAGTTCTTAAAGTGTATTTACAGACACCCATAACCACAATCTAATTTTGAAATCACCTTATCACTATGGAAAAAGAAATTAATCTCTTTTGTACTTACTGATTTCATTACCCTGGTCATAGGCAATCATTAGCCTGTTTTTATATATAAGCCTTTTATTAAAAGTTATTTTAAGTGAAATCATAAATTATCTGCCCTTTTGCATTTGGTTTATTTTACTTACTTTAGTGATTTTGAGGTTTTTTCCTGACATAGCAGGTATTATTACTTCATTTTCTTTGTTTGGCACATAGTATTTTATTGTATGGACACACCACACGTTATTTTTTCTGTTATTATTTGATGGATATTTTGGTTTTATCCCCTTTGGGCTATTACAAATACTGCTCCTTTGATCATTTACATCTGATTCTTTGTGTAGTCATAGGTTTTCATTTCTTTTGAGTACGTAACAGAGTAAAATGTCTCAGTCATATGGTGATACTATTTATAGCATTTTGAATAATTGCCAAATTGTTCTTTAAATCGGTTGTTTTTTACACTCCCACATACAATGTGTGAGGCTTTCATATTTTTGATATCTTTGGCAACCTTTTTTATTGCCTTTTACAGGTCTTCTAGTAAGTATGTCATTGAGCTTTTGATTTGCATTTCTCTAAACTAATAATGTCACATATTTTAAATTTAATGACAAATTTTGCTTCTTATCTGTAGAAATTTTTAATTCAAATTCCTTGCACATTTTTCAAGTAGTCAATTGTCTATTTATTATTGATTTATAAGACTTTGTGTATTTGAGCAAGATGGCTGAATAGACAAACCAAGGTGGAACAGCTGACACCAAGGGACCAGGATGACTGGCACACTCTTAACCGAGGGCAGGTACTGATAGTGATGGAGGAAAGACACAACATCTGAACTTAAGATTCAGAAGCTGGGAACCCTGCACAGGGCTAAAGCACAGTGGAACTGATTTCTGGCCCCCAGTGACTCTGAGAAAAACAGGTGAGTTTAAGTGGCAAGGAGCTACCTGCTTTCCTGACTGGCCTCTGGAATCCCACTGGCAGAGACCCTCTGACCATCATGGAAAATGAGTTGAAAGGAAGAGCTGCTTAGAGAAGTGACAGGGGCAGCACACCAGCCAGTGCACAGCCAAGAGGGTTTATTGTGGGAACATGTGTAGTGAAGCATGTCCAGGGATGCCCACACCAATAAGCTTAACTTGCTCCCATAAGAGACGTTAGCCCTAGGGGAAATTTTGGACAAAAAGTCTGCAGGGTGGTGGCCCATCAGATGGGGCTGTTTTGACCTGAGCTTGCGTTGGTGTGCTGGCCTCTCCTGCGACCCCAATTCGGCCCTGCATGCTTGCAGTGCAGCCTTGAGTACCCTGGGGGCCTGCATCATAGATCCTGAACTGGCAGATCATGTCTGACTAGTAGACAGCTCCAGTGGGGTGACCCCATCCAGGCATCAGCCTGCCTGCTGCCTCTCCTCACTGCAGCTTCCCCCCAAGGCCCATTGCCACCCCACACATCACTATGCTGGTGTGTGTGTGTGTGTGTGTGTGTGTGCATGGAAGGATCTTGCTTTCCCTGTCCTGTCAGTGCACATGTGCATATGCATTCTGCCCTGGCACTGCTGTTGGTAGGAGTGTACTCCAGGCCCCCTCTCCTGCTATACCACCACTGCAGACAGAATCTTGGGGGAAACAGAGGCCATCTGCCCCACAACACCAGCACCCTGCTCCTTTGTCAACACTGTCATTTGAGTACAACTAAGCACAAAAAACAGCATACTCTCCTCAGCCCTGAGCAGCCACCTTCGCCTGCATGAATACACACAAAACCACTTGACTGAGCCAACCTTATAACACAATTAAACCCTTAAGGTCATCAAGCAGAATAAAAGGAAAAATCCAAAAGTTGACAACTTCAAATATTAAAGAAATATCACCCCAGAAAGATAAGAAAGAACAAGCACAAAACCTCTGACAACTCAAAAAACCTGAGTTCCTCTTTTCCTTCAAATGGTCACAGTACCTCTCCAGTAAGGTTATAAATCAGTCCAAGATAGCTAAAATTACAGAAATCAAATTCAGAATATGAATAGAAATAAAGATCATTAAAATGCAGAAGTAACTTGAAACTCAATTCAAAAACGTTAAGAATCATAATGAAATGATACAGGAGCTGAGAGACAAAAGAGCCAGTATTAAGAGCATAACTAACCTGAGAGAGCTAAAAAAATCACACTAAATTTTTTTATAAGAAATTCACAACTATTAATAGTAGAATAGACAAAGCTAAGGAAGAATCTCAGAGTTTGAAGACTGTTTATGTGAAGTAAGACATACAGACAGAAATAAAAAAGAGTAATAAAAACCCCCAAGCCTCTGAAAAATATAAGATTATGTAAAGAGACCAAAGGTATGACCCACTGGTGTTCATGAAACAGGTGGGGAGAATGGAAGCCATTTGAAAAACATATTTTAGGATATCATTCATGAGAACTTCCCCAACCTGGGGAATGCTGGCTAGAGAGGCCAGCATTCAAATTTAGGAAATGCAGAAAACTCCAGTAAGATACTTCATAATATAATAATCACCAAAACACATAGTTATCAGATTGTTCAAGCATGAAATAAAAGAAAAAATGTCAAATGCAGCTAGAGAGGAAAGGGAGGTCAACCACAAAGGAAAGATTATCAGTGTAAAAGTACGCCTTTTAGCAGAAATCCTACAAGCCAGAAGAGACCAATACCAATATTTAACCTCCTTGAAGAAAATAAATTCCAATCAACAATCTCGTATTTGGCCAAACTAAGCTTCATAAGTAAAGGAGAAATAAAGTTCTTTTTAAACAGGCAAATGCTGAGGAAATTCATTACTACAAGACATGCCTTACAAGAGCTCCTGAAGGAAGAACTAAATATAGGTGAAAAAAACCTTTATTAGCCACTAAAAAAACACACTGAGGTATACAGACCAGTTGCGCACAAACAAGTCTGCATAATAAGCAGCTACCATTATAATGGCAGCATCAAATGCACACATATCAACACTAACTATGAATGTAAATGGGCTGAATGTTCCAATTAAAAGGCAAACAGTGGGAAACTGGATAAAGAACAAAGAACCAATGATATGCTGTCATCAAGACTCATTTCACATGCAATCAGTTTCATAGGCTGAAAATGACGGGATAAAAATCTACCAAGCAAATGGAAAACAGCAGAAAGAATGGGTTGCAACCCTAAGTTTAGACAAACAGACTTTAAAACAACAAAGATTTAAAAAGGCAAAAAGGCATTACAAAATGCTAAAGGGTTAAATTCAACAAGAATATATGTATTCATATTTAAATATATACATTTTAAATATATACACACCCAACACAGGAACACCCAAATTCATAAAGCAAGTTCTTAGAGGTCTTTAAAAAGACTTAGATTCCTACACAATTATAGTGAAAAACTTCAACAACCCATTGACAATATTAGATTATTAAGGCAGAAAATTAACAAGATATTCAAGATCTGAATGCAGCACTGGATCAAATGGATGTAACAGACACTTTCAGAACTCTCCACCAAAAACAACAACATATACGTTCTCATTGCCACATGGCACATACTCTAAAATCAACCACTTAATCGACATAAAACTGTTCTCAGAAATTATAAAAGAATTCAAATTATGACAACCACTCTCCGAGACCAGAGTACAGTAAAATTGGAGGTAAAAGTTGAGAAAACCAATACTCAATACCATATGATTACATAAAAATTAAATAACTCACTCCTGAATGACTTTTGTGTGAATAATGAAATTAAGGCATCAATCAAAAAGTTATTTGAAAGTAATGAGAACAAAGACACAACCTACCAGAATCCCTGAGATGCAACTAAATCAGTGTTGAGAAAAAAACTGATGTTGCTGAACACCCACCACAAAAAGTAACAAAGATCTCAATTTAACCACTCAATATCACAACTAAAACATCTAGAGAATGAAGAGCTATCCAACCCCAAAGCTGGAAGAAGACAGAAATAACCAAAATCAGAGATAAACTGAGATTAGGACACACACAAAGAAACTAAAAGATTAATGAATCCAGGAGTAGGTTTTGTTTTAAATGTGGACTACTAGCTAGACTAATATAGAGGAAAAGAGAGAAGATCCAAACAAAGACAATCAGAAACAACAAAGGGGATATTACCACTGGCTCCTCAGAAATAGAAATAAACATCGGAGAATATGATGAACACCTTTATGCAAAAAAACTACAACACCTAGAACAAATAGATAAATTCCTGGACATGTACACCTTTCCAAGACTGAACCAGGAAGAAATTGAATCCCTGAACAGACCAATAACATGCTCCAAAATTGAATCTGTAATAAATAGACTATCAATTTTAAAAAGCCCAGGAAAAGACGAATTCCCAGCCAAATTCTACTGGATATGCAAAGAAGAATTTGGTATCATTCCTACTGAAACTCCCAAAAATTTGAGGAGGATCATCTTCCTCACTCATCCTATGAGGCCAGCACCCTTCTGATATCAAAACCTGGAAGAAAAGCAAAAGAAAGAAAAATTTCATATCTTTGATGAATATTGATGCAAAAATTCTCCATAAAATACTGGCAAACCAAATCCAGCAGCACACCAAAAAGCCTATCCACCACAATCAAGTAGGCTTTTTCCCTGGGATGCAAGGTTGGTTCAACATATGCAAATCAATAAATGTGATTCATAATACAAACAGAACGAAAGACAAAAACCTCATGATTATTGTAATAGATGCAGAAAGAGCTTTCATTAAAATTCAAAACCACTTTATGTTAAAACTCTCCATATACTAGGTATTGAGGAAACATGCTTTGAAATAATAAAAGTCATCTATGACAAACCCACAGCCAACTTTATACTGAATGGGTGAAACTGGAAGCATTTTTCTTGGAAACTGGCACAAGACAAAGATGCCCTCTCTTACCAGCCCTGTTCAACATAGTATTGAAAATCCTGGCCAGAGCAATCAGACAAGAGAAAAAAATAAAGGCATTCAAATAAGAGGAGAGGAAGTCAAACTACCCATTTGCAGATTGTATTAGTCAGTGTTCTGTGTTTATGGATTGGAAGAATCAATATTAAAATGTCCATGCTACACAAAGCAAGCTACAGATTCAACGCAATTTCTGTAAAAATACCATTGACATTCCTCACACAAATAAATACAACAGCTCTAAAAAATCTTAAATTTATATATAATCACAAAAGACCTAGAATAGCTAAAGCTATCCTGAGCAAAAAGAATAAAACTGGAGGAATCCCATTACATAGCATACATTATTACATTACACAAAATTATACTACCGATGTGTAGTAACCAAAACAGCATAGTACTGGCATAAAAACAGACACACAGGAAAATGGAGCAGAATAGAGAACCCAGAACCAAACCATCCATCTACAGTGAACTCATTTTTTACATAGGCACCAAGAAAATATATTAAGAATAAAAACTCAGTCTCTTCAATAAACAGTGATGGTAAATCTGGATATCCATATGCAGAGGAATAAAACTAGACCTCTATCTTTTGCCATGTGCAAAAACTAAATCAAAATGGATTAAATATTTAAATGTAAAACTGCAAACTATGAAACTTCTGAAAGAAAACATTGGGGAAATTCTAAAAAACCTTGGATTAAGCAAAGATTTCTTGAGTAACACCTCACAAGCACAGGCAACCAAAGCAAAATGGAAAATTGGTATCACACCAAGTTATAAAATTTTGCATGGCACAGAAAAGAATCAACAAAGTCAGAAAACAACCCACAGAATGAAAGAAAATATTTTCAAACTACCTATCTGAAAATGGATTTGTAACCAAAACATAGAAGGCGCTCAAATAACTCTATAGAAAATAAAATCTAATAATCCTATTTTAAAAAATAGGCAAAATATGTAAACAGACATTACTCCAATAAAGACACGCAAATGGCAAATAGGTATATGAAAAGATGATCAACATCATGAATCATCAGAGAAATGCAAATCAAAATTACAATGAGCTATTACCTCACCCCAGTTAAAGTGGGTTTTAGCTAAAAGGCAATAACAAATGCTGACAAGCATGCGGAGAAAAGGGAACCCTCATATGCTGTTGGTGGGAATGTAAGTTGGTGGAACCACTATGGAGAACAGCTTGAAGGTTCATCAGAAAACTAAAAATAGAGCTTCTGTACAATCCAGCAATTTCACTGTTAGGTATATATCCAAAAGAGAGAAAAATCTGTGTATTGAAGTGATAGCTGTACTCCTGTGTTTACTGCAACACTATTCACAATAGCCAAGATTTGGAAGTAACATAGGTGTTTATCGACAGATGAATAAACAAAAAAGTGGTACATATACACAATGTAGTACTATTCAGACATAAAAATGAATGAGATTCTGTCATTTGTAAAAACATGGGTTAAACTGAAGGTCATTTTATTAAGTGAAATAAGCCAGGTATAGAAAGACAAACTTCACACGTTCTCACTTATTTGTTAAAGCTAAAAATTAAAACCAAAGAATTAATGGAGATAAAGAGTAGAATGATGGTCTCCAGAGGCTGAGAGAAGTAGTAGAAGGTTGAGGGCGGGGAGGTGGGAATGGTTAATGGGTATAAAAATATAGTTAGAAAGAATGAATCAGTTCTAGCATTTGACAGCACAAGGTGACTCTAGTTAAGAATAATTTAAGTGTACATTTTAAAATAACAGAAATTGTATAATTTGGTTATTTGAAATCCAATAGTAATACTTCATGTGATGAATACCCCATTGACTCTGATGTAATTATTACACATTGTATGACGGTATCAAAATATTCTATATACTTCATAAAGGTATACACCTACTATGCACCCAGAAAAACCAAAAATAAAAAAATTAGGATATACTTTAAGACAACAAATACTATTACTAGAGATGAAGATAGATTATAATTAGAAGGATAAATTCATGAGGAAAATAAATTAACATATATGAATGTAACAAAAGTTCACAGAAGTACATAAAGCAAAACTGATAGAAATAAAGGCAGAAATAGTTGCAACAATAGTTTCAACAATAAAAATTGCAAGCTTCACTTCCCCACTTACACTATTGGGTAGAAGAACTAGACATAAGAGAAACAAGGAAATAGAAGACATGAATAACATAAACCAAATAAAACTAGAGATATATGGAGAACTCTTCACCCCAAATCAGAATGTATATTCTTCCCAAATGCACATAGAACATTCTCTAGAATGGAGAATATGCTGCATCATAAAAAAAATCAATAAAATTGAAAGATTGAAATAATAAAATGAATGTTTTCTAATCACAAAAGAGAAAATTAGAGACCAAAAAAGCAAGAAATTTGGGAAATGCAAACATGTGTGCATTAAATGACACAATCTTAAATAATTAATGAATAAAAAATGTACAAATAGTGTCAGAGAATATTTTAACATAAATAGACATTTAGACAAAACATAATAAAATTTATGAGACTTAGTGAAAGTTGAGCTCTGAGGGAAACAGCAGAATTACTTTATAAAAAACAAAGAAATCTTAAATTAATAGCTTAACGCTTATGGAAGCATTTAAATAAAAATGAACTACCCAGTTCACCTGGAGCAAACACTATCAGTGGGGTAAAAAGGTAGTCACGCTGACAATCGTAGGAGGAAATACTTGGAAACAAGACACTGAGAATTAGGATAGTGATAGTACTCCTTGGAATCTAGAAAAAAATGGGGATGCTCTAGGCTAGACAGATTCTCAGGAAAAACGCTAAAACACTAAGCTCCCACCTGTTTGTCTTTTAATCTCTGCATGAACAGAAAGTATAGGCACAAGCAGAGTTAGGACTTTATGGCACACATAGAGATTCTAGATGAAAGGATCAGAAGATTCATATTTTGAGAGGGCTAAAATATCTACAGTCTTGCTGTCCTATTAAAGTTTAGTGAAACTATATTGCAGATTCGCATTGCTCACTTCTTCCAGTAATCCAGTGATCTAGTAAAGCTTGATTTTGCCATTTGAATCCTCTGATAAATGAAGTCAGCCTCTAACTTGAGGTACTTTTTGGGATGTTGGAGTTATGGTCACCATGACGTTACTATTGGTTACACTAATTTGTAAGTCAACAATGAGCTTGCTACAGAGCTGTGAAACTGAATTCTGACCCCTGAGGGAGGTCGTTAGCTTGATCTTTCTGTTTTTAGATGGGTCGATTTGAACTCTATGAAAAAGACCACAGGAGGCCACTTGGTAAATAGAAATAACATATTCTAGAAGGAAATTAGACTAAAATAGAAACGGCACTAAAGTAAAAATTAAAATTCATATTCGGTAGAAATTTTATGCCACCCTCTACTATCTCAAGCAAACTTTCTGACTCTGTGGGACTCCCCAATTTACTGAATATTTTCTAAATATCTGTTCCTGGTTCACTAATGGGCCAGGGAAGATGACACCTCATGGTGTTCACTGGGCTGGTGTGGGTGTTTGATCTCATTGTCAGCCAATGAGGAACCTGAATCTGGGGTGATTACTTCACTCAATTGTCAGAACTGAGAGTTCCGGGTTATTGCCACATTCTACGTGTTTAGGCTTCCATATTGAAAATGATTAACTGTCTAATTAAGAACATCTTCTTTGGGGCTGCAAACTGAAATTTATCTTAGCTGCTGATCTAATTGTCAGGCCATTAATTTAGAAGTTCACAATTAGGGTTATGTCTCCAAAGAGATGAACAACAATCAAGCCTAAATCCCTGTCTACTGCAGAGGTCATCACTGCATGCCAGGTTGGTGGTTCTTGGAGAAAGTTGATCTACGTGTCCCATGTATGGGGAAGTCCCAGACCATTTCTGGCAGAATGACTGTCTTAGACTTTTGACCCGTTACTTGAAGTATTTGTCACTACTGTTGACACTTTCAGCATAAAGATCAGCTGACTCCAGCCACATTATGTGTTACTTGAAGCTAATCCATGTCATCTTTTAGGTATTTGAGACCGCTTAAATTCTCTCTTTTTTTTTTTTTTTTTTTGCTTTTATCACCATATCTATTAAAATGAGCCAATAGTCTCATTTTAACTTATTTTCCTCATCAGGGTCCACAGCTTTTGGTTAGGTAATGTGTTGATTAAATGGTTTATTAGTCACCTTCTTTGGTCCCAGAAGAGATTATCTCCTGTTGACTGTCTCTAAGATATAGATAACATTGTTATTGAGTAAAAGGAGCTCACTTCTTGAAGTGCTAGAAGCCAATACTATGACATCAGGTTTTTAAGAGAAAGCAATTTTATACTGAAACGTTACTCTCAAGCTCATTGCCTCCTCATGGATGTCATGGGCAAACTGAAGGGGAGTTGTGATGAAACAGGCAGTGAAAATTCAGACGGTGACCTCAGCAAGGTGATTCTGCCAAAACACCATTTGGCCATAATGATTCCACCAATTTAAGCCAGTTTGTTTATTTCATAAGTAGAGGGAGTTTCAGTGTTTTGGCAAGTTGTGTTTTTGTTTTTTTTTTCTTTTCTGTTATTCTGCAAGCTCAAGATTTTCTGTTAGATACTGGCTTTCTTTTAACTCTGCAGAAGTGTTGCAAAATGATTGGGGCTATAGGAATCTATTTTCCAAATCTGAGTTTCCACACTGACATTCCTGGGCAAGATGTGATTTCTCCTAACTGCAACCTCCAGGCAGCCTGGTTTGTATGATTTCTGAGTAGCAGCCCAGTCAAAAAAGGGGTTATGGAACTCCAATTTAGTTCTGATTATGGTGTATATAAACATTCTTGTCTCTATTACAACTGGATCTACTACATAAAATGTCTACAGCAAAATAGGAGGGGATCAGATAAAGGTACAATTATAAGTATTGGAATGGATCACATTAATTCTGAGGATATAGAAGGGGAGCAACAACCTGAAACCAGGGGAGTGAACGACTTAGATCTCAGGAGCTATGGGAAATGGATAGGCATGAATAACCTCTTTTCCTTCTGAATTGCCCCTGGCACACTCCAGAAAAGTCTGGCAATAATTTTGGGATAGGATGAGAGTAGGGTTAGTTAGACCAGGTGGAAGTGCAAAGACTAAGTTTATTTTTTCCATTCCATCCCCCATATCACCCTTAAGAATCCTTTGGGCTGGGCACAGCAGCTCACACCCAGCACTTTAGGTGACCAAGGAGGGTGGATAACGAGGTCAGGAAATCGAGACCATCTGGCCAACATGGTGGAACCCAGTCTGTACTAAAAATATAAAAATTACCCAGGCAAGGTGGCACATGCCTGTAGTCCCAGCTATTTGGGAGGCTGAGGCAGGAGAATTGCTTCAACCTGAGAGACCAAGGTTGCTGTGAGCTGAGATGATGCCACTGCACTCCATCTTGGATGACAGAGGAAGACTCCATCTCAAAAAAAAAAAAATCCTTTGTAATTATCCCATTTCTCTGCAATGTAGTAATGAAATTCTAGTGAGGAGCATGCGTTCTCAGTGCCCAGTTGTCTGAGGCCACAGTTGAGTTGCTTCAGGGAAAAAACAAACAAACAAAAAAAAACCAAAACGAAAACACAAAAGCAAAAGCAAAAACAAAAACAAAAAACCCTATTGCTTTTGTTTTTTTCTAAAAAGATTAAATGCCCCATGGTTTAAAATAAGCTGGCTCTACAAAACATTGAATTCATCTTTTATTTTCTCTGTGAGCAGAGGCTCCTCCTTCTGTTTTTCTACCATCTAGAGATGAATCTATATTTGTCAATATTGACATAAATTGGAGACATAAATCATGTAAGAACCCTAGACAAGCCTTCAAAATAATCTGAGTCTTGCTCGTTTCTCTTCTCAATTATGTTGTCAGAGAGAGCTACCTGAGATGAAGTCTCTCAGGAATAGTTAGAACATTGCACTTCTAGAGAAGATGGTGAGACAGGGCAAGACTCACAGTGAGAATAAAAGCTTCTTCTCAATCTTTCAGTGTATCTGTTTCTGGTAGATGAATCCAGAAAAGATTCCAGAGCCAGGGAAGAGCTATTTGAGAGGGTAGAATCACTGTAGATCAGAGTACTAGGTCATATGTTTATTAGTCACCTTCTTTGGTCATATTCTCAGTGCTAAGCCTCTGATAGGGCTTCAGAGCAATGTATGCCTGTGAAAATCTCTAATTCCATTTGAAAGATGAAGTTCTGGCTCTGGGAGAAGTCTCCTATCTGACAGAACATCATGCTTCTGTGGGCATGAGATTCTGTGCCCTTCCTCAGCAGACACCACTGACTCAATAATTGTTTAAGAATCATGCATAAATAGGCCTTCCTTATCATGAATCTCTTAAATAACAAAACAGAGAAAACCCATTTATCCACGTTCAAATTGAATAAGAGTGTAAGAAACTTCACAGAAATTGTTATAGAAGGAAACTCTTGGGCTCTGTCCATCTCCAGAAATCTCAAAATTCTGGCACAATCTGTTACAATTAACCTTATCAGAGCTTGAATTTTTTTTTTGCTATATATATTTACCTTTAATTGGACCTTAATTTTGTTATATGTTTTAATTTAATTTTATTTTTTTGATGGAGTCTTGCTGTGTCTCCGAGGCTGTAGTGCACTGGTGTGATCTCAGCTCACTGAAAGCTCCACCTCCTGGGTTCACACCTTTTTCCTGCCTCAGCTTCCCTAGTAGCGGGGACTACAGGCGCCCGCCACCACACCCAGCAATGTTTTTGGACTTTTAGTAGAGACGGGGTTTCACCGTATTAGCCAGGATGGTCTCGATCTCCTGACCTTGTGATCCGCCTGCCTTGACATCCCAAAGTGCTTGGATTACAGGCTTGAGCCATCATGCCCGGCCAAGGATAAACCATTGTTTAACCTTTGTGATAGAAACATCAAATTCCCATATCCCAAGCATTAATAATACTGTCCACTGCAATTGTTATTGCTTATTAACTTTTTGCTATGGTCTGGATATTTGTGTTCCTCACTCTCCACATTCATATTTAAAAACTTAATCCACACGTGGATTCAGTGTGATACTATTAGTTATTGGAACTTTGAGAAAGTTATTAAGTCAGGAGGGCTGCATGTTAACGAGAAAATAATAGTGCCCGTGTGACGGAGGTTGAAAGGAATATTCATGCCCCTTCTGTCGTGTGAAGACATAGCTAGAAGGTGCTACTTGTGAGGAACAGAACCTCACAAGAAAGAGCCTCAGAAAGTTGTTATACAGCAGAACATCTTTCTCTCTTGAGAGATTCTGGCCAACAGTGCTGCATGGTGGACTGTCTTTAGAATGTGAGTTTTTGGTTACCAGAATACTTAGTACTGTTAGGACCTTTCACCAAAGAAATGAGGTCACTTCTTGAAGGTATTATTCTTCTTTCAATAAGACCTATCTTCCTTCAATAAGACCTACTCAAAGGCTTTTCTGCACTGCTGACTGCTCACCATTCTCTCCCAAGTCATCTGATTACTTGTGCACAATTATGCAAATACAGCACCTCCTGCACCAGTGCCGGAGGAAATGGAATGCAGCCAGAGCCACAAGTTTGAGGATACAAGCTGAGTTAAAGTCTTTATGTTTAATGTATTAATTATGTGATGCCAAGTATGTCATTGTGCCTCTCAGGGGCTCCATAGTCTCACAGCCTGCACAGTGGGGATTATGGTGGCATCCAGCTGCAAGGGATCTCATGAGATATGTATAAAATGATACGCATGACTGTTGGGTTTGATATTAAACACAGCTACTGCATAAACTTAGAGAAAGAAACTACAAGGGATGGGACATTGCTTGAATATCTCTCAAACATGCCTGGGTTTTATAACTTGAATCTTGAGAAAGTCATGTCCCCTCTTGAATTTATTTTTCAAACTCCACCATGAAAACATTGAAATTGAATAAAATTTAGATGTTGTTATTCTTTGGCCAGAACAACAACAATAACAACAACACACATTGTAGTACCTTCTCGTTATATTTAGAATCAGGCCCATTTGTCTCACCTTGGCATACGTAGTGCACAGCCTTCATGATGGCTCATAATAATTTTTATTTCCAACTATACACACCCAAATGTAAACAGTAAGTGGTTAGTGACTCACTTCATGGCAGTAGAATACATTGGAAAATAGGGAATGTCACTGCCAATATTTGATTATGAAAAGATTGTCACTTGCTTCTTACTTTCTCTCTCTTGTGATATTGTTTACTTCCTTTTTTCCTGTCTTTCTCTCTGTCTGTCGCATACTTTGCTCTGGAGAAGCGAGCTTCAGTGTTTTAAGCTTTCATTTTTACAGGCTTGTGTGACAGAGAATAGAGAGAGTGCCCTGACCAAAGACAGAAAGAAACTAAGAACTGAGTCAAAACAATAATGCACAACTAACCAGATTGAGCTCAGAAGTGCATCCTTCCCAGTCAAGCTTCAGTTGAGACACAGCTTCAGTCTCATGAGTGAGAGGTGACAGCATGCTGGCAGCCCTCACAGCCCTCGCTCACTCTTGGTGCCTCCTCAGCCTTGGTGCCCACTCTGGCCGCGCTTGAGGAGCCCTTCAGCTCACCGCTGCACTGTGGGAGCCCCTTTCTCAGCAGGCCAATGCCGGAGCCGGCTCCCTTATCTTGCGGGGAGCGGGCAGGAACCGCGGCTGCCCGCGGTGCTTCCGGGCCAGCGCGAGTTCCGGGTGGGCGTGGGCTTGGCGGCCCCGCACTTGGAGCGGCCAGCTGGCCCCGCCAGCCCCAGGCAGTGAGGGGCTTAGCACCTGGGCCAGCAGCTGCTGTGCTCGACTTCTCGCCAGGCCTTAGCTGCCTCCCCACGGGGCAGGGCTCGGGAACTGCAGCCCACCTTGCCTGAGCCTCTCCCCCACTCCTGCCAAGGGCTCCTGTGCGGCCCGAGCCTCCCCAACGAGCTCCACCCCCTGTTCCATGGCACCCAGTCCCATCGACAACCCAAGGGCTGAGGAGTTCGGGAGCACAGCGTGTGACTGGCAGGCAGGCAGCTCCACCTGCGGCCCTGGTGCGGGATCCACTGGGTGAAGCCAGCTGGGCTCCTGAGTCTGGTGGGGACTTGGAGAAACTTTATGTCTAGATAAGGGATTGTAAATACACCAATCGACACTTTGTATCTAGCTCAAGGTTTATAAACACACAAATGAGCACCCCGTGTCTAGCTCAGGGTTTGTAAATACACCAATCAACACTCTGTATCTAGCTAATCTAGTAGAGACGTGGTGAACTTTGTGTCTAGCTCAAGGATTGTAAATGCATCAATCAGCACCCTGTGAAAAGGGACCAATCAGCTCTCTGTAAAACAGACCAATTGGCTCCCTGTAAAATGGACCAATCAGCAGGATGTGGGTGGGGCCAGATAAGAGAATAAAAGCAGCTGCCCGAGCCAGCAGTGGCAACCCTCTCGGGTCCCCATCCACACTGTGGAAGCTTTGTTCTTTCGCTCTTTGCAATAAATCCTGCTGCTGCTCACTCTTTGCGTCCACACTGCCTTTATGAGCTGTAACACTCACCACAAAGGTCTGCAGCTTCACTCCTGAGCCAGAAAGACCACGAACCCACCAGAAGAAAGAAACTCCAAACACATGCTGACATTAGAAGGGAAAAACTCCAGGCACGCTGCCTTTAAGAACTGTAACACTCACCGTGAGGGTCCGCGGCTTCATTCTTGAAGTCAGTGAGACCAAGAACCGACCAATTCCGGACACATGAGGACATTGTGGTAGACCCATTCAACTAAGCTGTGTCAGTATTTGTAGCCAACAGAAAATAAGACATAATGCATATTTGGAATTTTAAGCCACTACACATTGAGCTAATGAGTAGAATTATTTTTTCTAATTTTATTTACTGATTGCCCTTAGTTACTGTATAAAAGTGCAATTTAATATTGTGCATTTATCTTGTATCTTGTGACCTGCTGAACTCATTTATTAGTTCCAGTTGATTTTTGTAAACTCTTTAAAAATTCTTGAATATAAGTTGATGCCATTTACAATAAAAGTTTATTTTATAAATTTAGAAGTTTTATTTGTTTTTATTATATAATTTCTCTGCCTAACACCTTTAGTTCAATTTAGTAGAGTAGCGAAAGTAGCCATGCTTATCTGTTTCCCACAACTGTGAGGCAAAGAGCCTAGTCTTTCATCAGCAAGTGTAATATTAGTGGGAAATTTTTATGAATCCTTTTTAGTAGTTCCAGTAAGTTTTTCCTTCCTAGTATGTTAAGGATTTTATAATGAATCAGTGTTGTTTGTATCACAAGCTTTTCTGTGTCTATTAAAAGGATCATTTTATGTTCTTCACTTTATCAATGTTGTGTATTAAATTATTGGTTTTTAGATATTAAGCCACTTCATTTGTAAAAAGATTGTACTTGGCCATGGTGTATAATTACTTTTACGTGTTTCTGTATTTAACTTATTAGTACTTTTTGAGAATTATGTGTCTTTATTTATCAGCCGTATGTACCCATATTAATCCTAACACATGATGGGTTTGTCTGGCTTTGGTATAGTAATATTGGCCTCATAAAGTAGTTAGGGGTTGTTTATCTCTTATCTATGTATGGTGTGTATTTGTAAAGGATTGGTATTTTTATGAAATATTTTGTATAATTTAACAGTTAAAGTATTTGACTCTGATTTTTCTTTGTGGTAAGATTTTTAAAATAATTTAATCTTTCATTATAGGTCTCATATCTCCCACTTCTTGAGCTTCATTTGTTAAATTGGGCCTATCAAGTTATTTACTTCTAATTTGTAACAATCCATGTTTCCAGATATAGGCAGCTGGTATGCCTGTTATGTGGGATAATGTAGCTTTGTGAAAGTTTTACGTATTATGTGGGATAATGTAGCTTTGTTAAAATCAATAAATAGCCAAGTTTTTACTCAGCTTAAGGATTGAGACTATAATTTTTATACTTCATACTTGCATGTATTGCCTGAGTCAAAAAAGCTATTACATCTAAAAGAAACCAGTGAAACATATCATTTGACATGAAGTTTTATCAAAATGACACATTAGCCTAACCCCTTTTTCACAAATATTTAGAAAAGAAAAGAATAAATTTAAATAAGATTACAAAATAATTTAGTCAATAAAGAATATTATAAGGAATAAAAATTTAATGAATCAGGGTTATTAGTACTTAGTAGCCCCTACAATGTTTTAGAAATTATTCTAAGTCATTTACCCACATATACTTAATAGCTGAGTCTAAAACATATAATACAGAAATTTGTTAATAATGACAAATTGAAATATTTACAATTATATTAAATGACATTAAGACCATCAGAAATCAAATGTTTAACATACAGTAACTAAATAAACACAAGTAATGATAACTTTATTAGAAAGTATGACTACTAGCAAGAGAGAAAAATTAATAAAATTTTTCAGCAGTGAACCAAAGATACACACTGTATGACAGAGGGGGAAAATAAATGGCAAGGGTTTAGGCCTAACAATATCATTCATTTTATGAGAGCAGAAATTCAACAGCTCATATCTTTTAGGACACTAAAATGACAGTAGAAATTCTAAATTGTACTCAACAAGTAATATTTAGCCATGCACAAATTTTGTTTCATTAAATTAATTTATAAAATAAATATAAGATTTCATGAATTATTTTTGTGAGGTCAAGGACATACTAAAAGGAAGCACAGAGTTCTGTTCTCTGTAGTTAAGTATATATTTTCATAAAGGCACATAAAAGAAAATTTTAAGTATCAAAAGAACTACCCCTTACAAGTGACTATTACTACATATTTGAGAGAGATGTTTTGAATGAAGAAACGGAATATCTCATAAGATGTGGTTGTATGCTGCCCAATGCCTATGAAATATTCTACTCATGTGTACACTGCATATTTGTGCTTTCAGAAGAAAAGGCTACATATTTTTAAATATTTTAGTGTAGACAAGTAAAAGTTCTCAAGAAGCTACAAGAACTATGAAAATAATGAATACAGTTTAAAAATATAGAAGCACTTGATGAAAGCTAAAGTAAATCAAGAGAATAAGCCAGAGAAGTAATCAAACTGAAAAAAAGTGGTCCCTTCAGATACTGATAGATCACAAGGATGTCAAGTCTGTATGCTGTCCACCTTCCTCCAAGGGAAAATGGAATAAGCACAGAAATAACATGACTACAGACATCTCAAATGTGATATTTCCCAAATATTGGAACCAAGTTAAAAACTAAAGAACACAAGTAAATAAAAAGAAATTTCTGAAGAAAAACTAGGCCACCATTTTCCATATTCAAATATCATATTTGAATCACAGCTCGGTAGAATGTAAAGAATAAAAAAATTAGGACAAGGTATAGGTGAAACACTAAATTAAACAGAGATAAAAAATTACCTGAGTATTGAATAGAATGAATATAACCAAATATAGTAAAGAGAGATGACATATCATAAGATATAGTTTTAACAAGATAAAGGCTGGGATGAGACGCTAAACATCTTAATTATTTTATTAGAACAAAAAGTATGAATGAGGCAGAGCAAATAAGGCCAGCCAGATCCAAGATTTGGGAAAAGAAAATCTTTCCCTCCATGGAAGCAGCCTCAAGTGTACATTGCAGAGGGCCCAGATC